>NW_025791821.1:600000-865743 GCF_000001405.40 Homo sapiens
CGTATGTCAGATAGCACTGCACATTACTGCAGACATCGCATATACAGGTCCAAAGGTAGAGGAAGAAGAAGAAAGCAAGCGTTAAACTCTATTCATTCCTAAAAGCATATCAGAAACTCACAAATAACAGTGAAATCAAAGAATGATCACAGCCAATTCCATTACATACCTAGACTGAAATACGAAACTTCAAAGAAAAGAAACATTAGAACTTTGGGTTTGTAAAAATTTTCCTATATAGATAAAATTATTGGTAACTGTGTCTCACTAGAAAACGTAAACAAAAATCCATGTTTTTCATATTTGTAAATATACATAGTTTTATTTCCATCAGTTATGACATGCAAGCAAGTAATAAAGTGAAAGTACAATCAAATGATATATGGAACTTCCTCAGTCTTAAAATATTCCATGGAGACTATCAATTTTATGAAAACTATAAAGAATGCTTCATGAAACTACATTGTACAGTGCCATTTACTATTTTACTGACATTTTAAATAATCAACAATTAAAGGGAATACGTCAACATTATTTAATACCAATAACGTTATTTTTCTTGAGTAATCCTGTTGAAATTAAGGATTTTAAATAAAACATTAAAAACAAATTATATTGACTGATTTCAGCTTTGGATGAAATCATACTTGTGTATTTGTAGTAATGCGAAGCATAACTTTCTCCTCACAATTAATCTTTTATAACATCGGTGTTATAGTTTTCTCTGACACCAACATTGTGATATCGCACAGGTTTACTGCATGCATGCATTACATGCCTCCAGAGAGTAGGCTTCAAATATATGGAAAAATTATATTTATGAAAAAATTCTAGGAAAGGGAATGGTGAAATGGAAGAGAATTTCTCACTTGCTAACTGTTGGACATGGATTTGTATATATTTGGATATAGACACATACTGGCACACTGTGAGTTTGCCCATGTATATATACACTTATATGAGAAACCCATAATATATGGGTTGTGTAATCTTTTAATTAATCCATAATTGTATGTGTGTGAAATTAGATAAGCGGTTACCTTTTCTTTACTCAATTTGATGGAAAGCCAAAAAACTCTGTCCACCTTCATTTCAATTAATCCAATACTGTTAACTGCTGGTAGCTTCATTCTCCTTGTTCTCTTACGGCAACCGGAAAGTTAATTCTCGCTCTAATTTGGCTTTCAAGGTGCGATCAACAAGAGTGTCACCTTGCTGTGGATTGTGACCTCTGACTCCACCTCTGTCTTCCTTTTGCAGTCCTACCTTTGCATAGGTAACAAACTTTGTACATGGTTAAAAGGATAAAAGTTCAGTGAAATGTCAAGCCATGCTGTGAAATGTTCCATAGTTTCTATATCTCTAATTGTCCTTTGATGTTATAGAGGCAAGAAAAATAATTCAATGTTTTTCTTAGTATCTAGTCCAATGCACTCTTTCTTCATAATACTGCAAACAAGGCACTGACATGGAAACGTGGCTGGACGTCTCAAAATCTCTTCTCATTAATTACCATTATGTTAATCACTGTTGCCCACAACTGGAATTGGACTTTGAAATCCCCTGGTGGAAATTGCTATAATGGCTCAAACTACTGGAAAGACTATCTTTTTTTTACCTGAAAATATCTGATGAGCATAGACGTATGCTATATACAGGAACATATTGTACATTAACAACATACCATCACTGCCACTCAATAATAGGTATCCCAAACCTTTGAGCCAAACTGAGCTCGGGTGCTCCCACAAACCAAGCTTTTCCCTCCACAGATTTCTTATGTCAAAAAGCCACAACTCCAGGCCAGGCTTCGTGGCTCTTGTTGTAATTTCTACATTTTGGGAGGCCGAGGTTGGTGGGTCACTTGAGGTCAGGAGTTGGAGACCAGCATGGGCAACATGGCAAAAAGCTGTCTCTACCAAAAATACAAAAATTAGCCAGACCTAGTGGCACTTTCCTGTGGTCCCAGCTACTTGGGAGGCTGAGGCAGGAGAACCACCTGAACATGGGTGGCAGAGATTGTATAGTAAGCCAAGATCAGACTACTGCACTCCAGCCTGGATGACACAGCGAGACCATGACTGAAAAAAGAAAAAAAAAAAATAAAGGCAACTCCACTCGTCCACTGGCTTAGGTAAAAAGTACTGGAGTTGGCTGGGCTCGGTGGCTCACACCTGTATTCCCAGCACTTTGGATTTTGGGAAGCTGAGTCGGGCGGGTCACCTGAGATCTGTAGTAGGAGAGCAGCCTGGCCAACATGGTGAAGCCTGGCTTCTACTAAAAATACAAAACATTAGCTGAGCGTGGTGATGCATGCTTGTAATCCCAGCTACTGCAGAGGCTGAACCTGGGAGGCGGAGGATGTGTTGAGCTGAGATCCTGCCACTGCGCTCCAGCCTGGTCTACAGAGCGAGAGTACCCTGTGAGAAACAAAGGTGAAGAGAACAAGAAAAAAAAAATGAGAAAAATAAGACCCACTGCAAAAGGTTGCCACAGAAAAGATTAAACATTTCAGCAACTTCTATCTTCTGTCATGGAAGCCAAGGTTATTTGGACCAAACCTCCTGTCTTAGTTCATTTTCACGCTGCTGAAGAAGACATACCTGAAACTGGGAATAAAAGGAGGTTTAATTGGACTGACAGTTCCACATGGCTGTGGAGGCCTCAGAATCATGGTATACGAATAAAGGCACTTCTTACATGGCAATGCCAAGAGAGAATGAGGAAGAACCTGAGGCAGAAACCCCTGAAAAACCCATCAGATCCCGTGAGACTTCTTCACTGTCACAAGAATAGCATGAGAAAGACCGACCCCCATGATTCAATTACCTCCCCCTGGGTCCCACCCGCAACACGAGGGAATTCTGGGAGATACAATTGAAGCTGAGATTTGAATGGAGACACACCAAACCATGTCACTTCCCAAACAATTAAAAATTCCCAATAGAAGAAGCATTAATTATATCAAAAAGTGGTGGACCAAGAAGGAACTATTAGCCTCATATCTCAAGAAAGACTCCAGTCAAGGCCTAGGGACTACTCATGAAAAGAGTTTAATAGCCGACTCTCTCCCAGTGGATCTGGATTCCACCGGACTGTATCTTCACAGTAAGGGTGAAACAGAAGCAAACCCATTCCTATTTCCAAGCTCAAGGAACTTTGGTCAAAGTTCTCTTGGAGCTGAGCAGAACAAGGAGGCAAACAGAAAAGATTTGTGTCCCTGAGAAGTCATGGCCACAGGCTGGCTATCACACAGATTGTCAAGCCAGTTCCATATTGCATGGGTATTACAGAAAATCTCAAAACATAAATTTGTGTGTGGGTTGTCCCAGAGTAGCAGGATCTGGCAGAAGGAAATTTCCTTCTAACCCTCAAAGAATCCACATAAATCTTGTTACATTTGGGATTTTACGATTTGCTTCAGGAATGAGAATGGCCTTAATTTTCATATCTTTTTCTACACTCAGTTTATGGCTTGTTGGCGTCAAAGTTCTGCTTGCTTCACACAATGAGTTTAGGATTTTCCCTTTTTTATTCTATAGAATTCTTCATATATATTGAAATGCTCTGCCTGGGGAAAAAAATCTGAGCCTAGCGTTTTATCTCTAGGAAGAATCCTTTATTTCCTTGAACATTTATGAGACTATACAGATTATATATGTCTTCTTGTATCAATTTTACTAAGCTATATACATAGCTTATGTTTATATATTATATATATAAATGTAAGATACAAATATAAAAATTATGTATAAATATGAAAATATATATAGAAAGCGATATATATGTCTATATATATAGACAGATTATAAATATCTGTCTATTTGATCTAAGTTTTCAAATTTGTAGGTTAAGGTGTTAATGATATTTCCTTATTAGCTTCTTAATCTATGCTGTATCTATGGTTGTGTACCTTTTAAATTCTTAGTTTTATCTATGTTTTCTCCCTTTTTTTCTAAACTTGACTGACGGTTGCATCATTTATTATATTTCTCCAACAAGCAAAGGTTAGCTTTGTATGTTTTACTAATTTTGTCTACATCATTATTCCCACACTTTAGTTTTTCAGAATTGATTCTGTTGTTTCTTTTCTAATTCTTTATTGAAATATCTAGTACATTAATTTTCAAGTTATTAGAGAAATATTTGTCTGTAAACTCCTATTGTAATATCACTTTTCTTGCTACTCACAGATTTAATCTTTAATATTGGCGGTATCATTGAGTTCTAAGTACATTTCAATTCCTAGTATGATAATCTATGAATTGCTGAGAAATAGTGTTTACAATTTTGTTGTTCTATTTCCACTTAAGTTTATTTTTACTTCTGCTAACTCAATTGAAAATTCTTTACTAATTTTTAAAATCCTTGAACCCAAGAGATGGAGGTTGCAGTGAGCTGAGATCAGGCCACTGCATTCCAGACTGAGTGACAGAGTGGAACGAGATTTCAAAACAAAACAAAACAAAACAAAACAAAACAGTCACTGGAAAGATAATAAAATACATAAATGTGGGATGTAATATGTAATCGTGATAAAATAAACTGGATTTTTTGTATAAGTTATACATATAAATGTAATGCCAAGACACTGATAAGACAACTCATGGTCTTATCTCAATACTTAGTGTCTTCATGTAACATATGTCCTTTAGGATAGTTATAGTCCGTTTTCTTTCCAGGAGAGACAGATGAGAATGCAGAAATGTTAAAGTGCAAGGGACGGAAGCTTCCAGCTGTGCCCACCTGTAACCTGACGTAGACAGTTCCACCGTTTGCTTCATTAATCATGCCAAAGGCTCTAATGCAAATGTGGTACAGAGTCACATGTTTTTGTATCTACATGATAGAAACTATAACTTCATCCCTATATAGAAGGGTATATAGCATATGCCTCAGTGATAAATATAAGTGAATCATTGATCAGTAGGAAACCATTTTAAAAGTCTTTCATAACAGAACAAAATCCCTGAAAACATTTTCTTCTCAATCTCTGAGTTTTCTTACACGGCTTATGAATCTCTAGCCATACTAAAGAGATAGTATGCTGCTCTTCCCACAAATTATTCATTGTATATAATTCCTGTAATCTAATAACAGTACCTTTACACCTCAGGGTTTAAAATGACTCCAACCTTTTTCTGTTTCTCCAATTAAAATAACTTTTTTAAGGTTTAATCTTCAGTAATTTTTTGTAGTAATATTTTTGAAGGTATTTGACCAGGATGATTTGCTTATATAGCTACCTGACGTCTCCCTTTCTTCTGAATACATATTTTATTACCCACCTATTAGATCTAAGTTTAAGAAGTTGGAATAGGGATTTAAATCTAAATTCTACATTTGAATTTACAGGAGTCAGCGAGTCCGGGAAGTGCCTTTATGCACAGACCAATATCTGGCAATGGCACTAGGAGACAAATAAGCTTTACCAGTCTCAAAGCCCTGGCTACTACAGTGAATCCACCCTTCTCCTGGATCTTATCTACTTCAGCAAAAGAAGGCCACCCACTAAACCAGGCCCTTGTACTTTGGGTGGAAACTCCTAAGTCCTCTAGTCTCCTCAAACAGACAGCCAGGCTGCCAATTTCCACAATAATAATTTCTATAGCACTGAGTCTTTGGTAGCCTTGTAACTATAGCTACTGATGCTACAGTCTGGTCCCTGTATGATAAAACACCAGAGCAACAGAAACAAAAATATTGACTGAAGCCTTCTAAAATCTCTCTAAATATACCTTCAATAAATATCGTTTTTTTTACAGAACGACTGCTTTCAGCTTCCTGAACGAACGCTTGGCCTTCGCTAGTTGTCACTGTTGAAATTGATTCAAAAGTGTACATTTAACATGAAAGTCAACACAGAATTTCATGTGTCAGCAACTAAAATTTTCAAAATGTTGCAAAATACAAATGTGAAACTGTATTTGTGAAATTTACCATTCATTGAAATTATATTTTCATACCTACCCAGGCACAGAATTTTTTATAACTGTCTGCATGTTCTCCTCATGTGGGGGAAAAACAGCATCAGCAGGCAGAGGAATCCTTTGAAGCTGGAGGGAGAGGTTGCAGTGATCTGAGAGTTTGCCACTTGACTGCAGCCTGGATGACACAGTGAGACTCCAACTGAAAAGAAACAAACACACACACACACACACACACACACACACACACACACCCCCAAAATTGATAAGTAAAAAATCGTATTCGAAAACATGCTCACAGGCTAACTCCCATATCTAACACACACACACACACACACACACACACACACACACACACACACACACACAATTCCTTGAAAACGAAAGTTCCACAAGGGCGAAACAAGAAAACAAATTTAACACCCCCCAAAGAAAGTACGAAGAGTAACCTCAAAAGAACCGCAGGGGAAAACAATTCAAAATTTACAAGTATCTACCCTAAAAGAAGCTGAAAGTCCCTCAAAAACTTTCCAGAGGCCATGTCCTTGTATTACAAAAATGATCATAAAAACTGGCAGGAGTAGACGAATAGAAATGCATCTTAAAACTTGCTGAACACTTCAAGTCTCCCATAAGAATTGTAATGGAAAATGGATCAGTCGGCAGTTTTTTCCATACAATTATGAACAAATTATATTTCTTCATACATAGATTTGTTTTTTCAATATTCTAAGGAATTAACTTTTATATTAATAGTAGGTGATGTAAGAAAGCAGGCCTTTATCAAGATAACTGACACTGGATGTCCATACCATTACTCAGGTGGGCCTTAATTCCCAGCCAGGTTCCCTCCCTGGACACACACTGAAGGTCCCCAGCCATTTGGCAATCTCTTCACATTCCCAGCCCTGGAGGTAGCCCTAAAATACATGTACCTGAAGAAAATAAAACATTGCCTCACACTGGAGCCCAGTGTGGTCCTCCAGATTCCGTGTGAGGTGGACTAACTTATATGGGAAGGCAGGGCAGCGGGAGTGAGGATGGCAGAGAGGATTACACATGTCAAGGCAGCCGGGGTCATGGAAACAAAACATGACTGGCCTGGGAGAAACACTGTGAAAGGACACAGACCTAGGTGGGCCTCAGGTGGACATCCTCATGGAGAAAAAGGGGGCCCTGGTTGATCTCAAAATGAGCCCCAGGTGGTAGCAGGTCTTACCGCAGGGCAGGGAGCTGGCGAGTAATGATGAGACAGCTATCCCTTAAGCCCTGCTTGTCACCCACTGACTTTAGCCACATATGCATCATAGTGGCTTAAGGTGCCCCGATCCTGAAATGTGGGTGTTACATGTCCCTGATGGGCCTCTCTCCCCCAACCCACGGATTGCCTGGGATTGCTCACTGCAGTCTCCTCCCGGATCCTTGGGTTCTCCATGTGGGGCCCAGATCCAGGTCAAAAGGCCTCTCAGTTCCCAGCCCTTCCCAGCCCTAGGCTGCTCGCCTGGCCTCCTCTCTGTTCCGCCTCTAGGGCTGACCCTCTCTCCATGGGATAGAACTGCAATGGATTGAGCCATAGGCCCTGGCTGATGATCTAGGTGACTGCAGAAGTGGGTCCAGGACAGTTCAGGTGACAGTTCAAAGCCAATTCCCCAGAGACCAAGGAATGACCAGCTAGGTCCTTTCCCATGATGCCCCATGGCGAACCCCACCTCAGCAATCCTGCCAAAACCCGGGCAGTCATGTTCAGCCAAACAGCTGAATGAGCTCAGGTAGGAGGTGTACTGCCTGCAGCTGGAGGCTTGACCTTCGTGATCCCAGAACCGCTGGACTGCAGTGGAATGAGACACCCTGTAGCCTGCAGGGAGAGGAGTCAGGAAGGTTCATGCCAGTCCCACCCTCCCACACACCAGCTCCCCTACCATGCTGGGAGGCATTCCTTACCGAGGATGCCAACACAGTGCTCCTTCATGATGATTTCACTGTGGAAATAAAGGTTGGGATGAAAGGAAATCATCCTGCCACCGGTAACCGGGATGGCTGAGTTCCTCCACCTGCCGGATCAAGGAGAAAGAGGATGGATTCAATGGGACCATCTCAACTAGCTGGGCTGAGGTGGCCTACTAGCTGTAGTGAACCATGAGTTTCCCCTTCCCAGCTCTCCCACTGAGACAACCCTGGTCCCCAGGGGGACCTCAAACTGACTCAGACACTGGACTCCTCCCACAGACCCAGGCTCCCCAGCCTGACCTGCAAATCCATCACGTAGCAAAGCAGGACTTCCGCATGCTTTCCGACCCACGCCGACATCTCGTGTGCCAAACAATCTACCTCTGCGCAAGAACTCTCCAGAGGATTGGGTGGGCAAGCCTCGTGACGCCTTGCAATTTCGCAAGAACACAGACAATGTGGAACAGGGCCATCTCCCAGACATTTGGCCAGTCACCCTTCATTGTTGGCCCTCTATCTCTGTCTGGCGAGGAGGCAACGCCACAACTGTGGTGGTTTTTGGAGTGGGTGGACCCCGGCCAAGACGGCCTGGGCTGACCAGAGACGGGAGGCAGAAAAAGTGGGCAGGTGGTTGCAGCTGAGGGACGGGAGGGACCGGGGGTGGTGTGAGGCGGCTGCTTCTCTGAGTTTCTGAGATGCAGGAGGCCTTTGTGTGCTGGGTGCTGGACATGCTCCGCTGATGTCCGGGTGTGTGGTGTCCTCTTATCCTAGTCTCCCTGAGGGGTGGGCCTGTCCACCTGAGGGAAGCCTTGTAGTTAGAAGCCACAGCAGGGTCGTGCCTGGCGCTCTCCAAGGGAATTGCGTGGGTCCAGAGGAAGTTATACAGGCTCAGGGCCTACACGCCTTTGAGTGCAGCGCCTGCAGTTGGATGAATGCGCATCTGCGGAGCTGGTGCCCGCCGTCAGGTGGTCGGCAGCCCCATGCGCCGCGAACCCGTCTTAAGCACCTTGTGTTTCTGGGGTGAGCCTGCTGGAAACAGGCACCGAGAGCAGGGGTGGTTCAATGGCTGGTAATGGCATACAGATTCCCCGTCCTCCAGGGACGTTCCCAGGGAAACGCGTCCTTCGAATTTGGGCTGTGCGCAAAGGGACCTTGGCGCCGCGATTCTCCCTTGTCAGTGCTGGCCCTGGCTCCCCTTCCCTACCACGTGCTCCCAGGGCTGCTACAAGCGAGCTGCCCTCACAGCTGCGGGAACGTGGCCTCGGCTCCCACGCTGTCCCCCATCCCCTGCCTCCTGGCTGACCCCACGTGCCTCCCACCTGGCTCCTCCCCCCAAACAGCCCCCATACCCCCCGAGGCCCGATGACTATCCCCTGCTGCCCGCCATCCCAAATCGGCAGCCGCAAGGATATGGCTCTGGCTCACAAGGCGGAGATGCTCTGTGGCCTGGGGCATTCACGGAGCCCAGCTCCAAGTGAAGGACCTCCAGCGAGTCCATTGACGGCCCCGGTGTGCTCGGTCCAGGGCCAGGCTGTGCCCGCTGGCCCTCCTTCTGCCACCCCACGTCGGGCTCCACCTCAACCACCACCTCCACCTCAGCCATGATGTCTTCCACCTTCAGCACCGCCTCCTCTTCCAAGGCCGCCTCCTTGCTCTGTACCCCGGCCGTCCTCTCCAGCATTGCCTCCAGCCTGAACACGGTTTTCTCCTGGGTGCTCCCACAGACCCTGGGCCTGCGCAGCCCAGCCCAGCCCAGCCCATGCCCCGCACCCGTAGGCTCTGGGGGCCCGCTCCCCAGCAGACCCGCTCCCTGCAAGACCCACGGGCGTCGCCCTGCTGTGAACCTGGTCCCACACCTACGTGGACCCAGGTTTCCTGAGGAGCTCCGCTGGACCCGCAGATCCCGCACTGGCCAAAGGGCTCCGGTCCCCAGCAGGCTCAACTGCGCACAGGAGCTCGGGAGCCAGAGGCCCCGGCCCTGGGCTTGCAGAGCCCCACCAACAGGCACCGCAACCGCTGCTGCGGGTGCGGGAGCCTCTGGGTCGTCAAGGCAGCGCACAACAGCGTGCGCGCAGGCCAACAATGGCCAACCCTGGCGGCTGGCCTCTGGTGTGCCCAGGGCATAGGACAAGAGGCCCTTTGGAATGCTCCCTGGAGTACAGCATCCTCAGGGAGGAAGCATGGTACTCGGAGCCTCTATTTGCCTCGACCTGTGAGAGTGTGTGCCGGGGCTCTGGCCTCTACAGCAGATCAATTCCACCTCAGCACCGGCAGGCGACTTTCCTCCCACGTGCCCGCCCCGATCACTTCCCCCAGGACACCCCTGCCGCCCTAGCCCCAGCAACCAGAGAGAGTTCTCTGCATCTGCTGTATTACCTCCGTACCATCTACCTGGCCTGCCTAACGAAGAGAGATGTTTCCTGTGTTCATGACACATAGAGATGTTCATGGCTTGCCACACTGAGGATGTCAGGGCACAGGGCTGCCATGCCCACAATTCCAAAGGCCACGCAGCCCGCGTGTGCCCGGATGCCTAGCTACCCGGCACAAGCTCCAAGGGCTTCTCGGAGGAGGCTTGGGCAGGGAAGGCGGGGGGTGGGGGGGCTGGAGATGCAGGCCCGCCAGTGGCTGTGCCGCCCAGGGAGACGCCCACCGCCCTCCCATTGATTGGCCACGACGGGAGGAAGTCGGCCTGGGTGCGGCCCCCCGGCCCTTCGCGCGCAGTCCCTTAGGGGGCGCCTGGAAGCCCGGCGCATGCGCCCTGAGGGCTCGCTGACCTACCGGGTGCCAGAGAGGCTGCGGCAGGGTTTCTGTGGCGTGGGTCGGGCAGCACAGGCCTTGGTGTGTGCGAGTGCCAAGGAGGGCACCGCCTTCAGGATGGAGGCTGTACAGGAGGGGGCGGCCGGGGTGGAGAGTGAGCAGGCGGCTTTGGGGGAGGAGGCGGTGCTGCTGTTGGATGACATAATGGCGGAGGTGGAGGTGGTGGCGGAGGAGGAGGGCCTCGTGGAGCGGCGGGAGGAGGCCCAGCGGGCACAGCAGGCTGTGCCTGGCCCTGGGCCCATGACCCCAGAGTCTGCACTGGAGGAGCTGCTGGCCGTTCAGGTGGAGCTGGAGCCGGTTAATGCCCAAGCCAGGAAGGCCTTTTCTCGGCAGCGGGAAAAGATGGAGCGGAGGCGCAAGCCCCAGCTAGACCGCAGAGGCGCCGTCATCCAGAGCGTCCCTGGCTTCTGGGCCAATGTTGTATCCTTCTCAGTGTTTCTTCGGCCTTTCTAGTGGAGAGGTGCTCTCGGGGAAGTGTAAGTGACCGATGGGCAGCTCGGCGTCGATGTGACTCTTTGGGGAACAAAGGGGAGTTGCCACGGACCAATGTGGCTGTGGAAAGCCGGAGCAGGCGTGGGTACTATTGTCCTGCATGCGGCAGAGAAACCCTTGGTGATGCCGAGCAGCAGACGTTTGGGGCATCTTTTTGAAGAGCAGAAGCGAGTTCAGAGCGGAAGAGGTTTTTCAGTGAATGAAGCTATTTTTAAGGGAGTGTGATTGCTGCCCCTTGCTAGTCCGATCTGGGACTGGGCGTCTTCGGCTATAAGCAGATTCTGCCACTCCTCAGACACCAGCAAGTCTCTGCAAATCGCGCCTCCCCATGTCAGTGCAGTCAGCCTCAGAATCATACACCCTCTGTGAACACAGGAGGCCTTAGTTTACGGGGACGGGGAGGCGAAAGGAGATCATACATGGAAGCAGATCTGAGAAATCCCCTACCCCAGCCTCTGGGTGCTCTTAGGCCTTCTTCCCTGTTGCTCCTCGCTTTCCCTTCCATCGTGTGTAAAGTCTCTTTGACCTAAATCAGATTGCAAACCACCCCCAGATGTCAGCCCTGATCACTGACGAAGATGAAGACATGCTGAGCTACATGGTCAGCCTGGAGGTGAGGCCAGGAAGACTGGGGCTAGAGGGTTTAGCGGGGGAGGGTAAGGGAAATAATTCATTCCTGTAAGCAAGAGTGAGCACCTCACCCGAAAACCTATCTAAGCTTTCTCCACCTTGTCCTGACAGGTGGAAGAAGAGAAGCATCCTGTTCATCTCTGCAAGATCATGTTGTTCTTTCGGAGTAACCCCTACTTCCAGAATAAAGTGATTACCAAGGAATATCTGGTGAACATCACAGGTGACAGGTGGCTCCCAGGATGGGTAGTGGAAGGAAGATGGTGGGTGGATCATTGCCAACGGGATCCAGCCCCCTTCCCACAAAAACTCCTGTCTCTGTAGAATACAGGGCTTCTCATTCCACTCCAATTGAGTGGTATCCGGATTATGAAGTGGAGGCCTATCGCCGCAGACACCACAACAGCAGCCTTAACTTCTTCAACTGGTTCTCTGACCACAACTTCGCAGGATCTAACAAGATTGCTGAGGTGAGTCCTCACTGGGAAACATGAGGAATGACCCCGTGTGTTCCCAGCTGCTTGGGTCACCTTTCTGAGCCCTGATGAGGCCTTTCCCGATTGAGTCCCCTGACAGATCCTATGTAAGGACCTGTGGCGCAATCCCCTGCAATACTACAAGAGGATGAAGCCACCTGAAGAGGGAACAGAGACGTCAGGTGAGCCGTTAGTTGGCACTGGAGCTGTTTGATGCCCAGTATAAGGGGGTTGACACACCTGCCTATTCAGGGAGCCTGGGTGCTCATTTCAGAAATGTAGAAATTGAGGCTCCTTTCGTACATGTAGAAATTCCTTGAGAGGAAGACAGAGAGTGACAGAATCCAGGACGTTCATGGCATTGGGCTGAAAAGGCACGTTAGAGACTGCACTGCAAAGCGGGTGATAGCTGTGGAGTCTTAAGCCCAGTGAAGAATCGTCCATTTCCAGAATCAATGAGAAGTAAAGCTGAAAATCATTCAGTTCAGTCTGTGGCACTTGATTCCACGGCTGTCAACCCCACCGGCAGTCATCCCACCAACCCCATGAGATTGGGCTCCCTGAATGTGCGTCCTGGTCATCCTTGCCCCAAACCACAAAGGACTGTTTAGATTGATGGATTTCCTTAAGCTGTTGCCCCATCAGACTTGTGTGTGCTTTTAGGGCCCAGTGCATCTTGTTAGCTGACTCCCCTCACAGACAATACTGGGAATGGGGCAGGGATTGCGCAGAACAGTTTGTAACACGTGGTAGGAGGAAGTTTAAGGGATCACAAATGGGGAAGGGATATCCTTTTCTCAGCGGGCCCCACAATTGAAACATTTCAAAGTATGGCTCAGAGAAAATGCGTTTTAACATGAGTTTGTGTTTCTCTAGGGGACTCCCAGTTGTTGAGTTGAATATGATGGAGCATCAGATTTTACCTAATACAGCAGAACTCCTAAAAAGTTACAGCCATATGCAGGACGGCAGTACTCAGCATGGTCTTATGCACAGGAACTAAAGGAAAAAGAGATCGAGTCACAAAAATTCAGGAAGAGGGGGTAAATGTGGATTGTATGGAATGAAAAATAAACATTCTCAAGGATGTGTGACTCTGTGTCTGTGTGTGTGTGTGTGTGTCTTTGAGTTTGTGTGTGTGTCTGTGTGTGTATGTTTATCCACTTTATTCGGGTGTCATAATGAATTGATCAATCCACGTGCTTTATTCTCTTCATGGAAATAACCAGTCTGCGTTGGAGCTGGGCCTCTAAAGTTGTAGAGTGAATGGGTGTGGGATGTGTTGGGATTCTTCCTACAGGACAGAGTGGGAGAGGTAAAAGCAAAAGACAGCTTAGTTGGAGGCTGACTTCGTCCTATGGAAGCAGAGATAGTTCAAGGAAAGGGGTTACTGGGTTTCCAGGGCCCAGTTTGCTGGGACCTCCAAAATCCTTCATTTTGGGTATCATCATACACAGTAGCTAAGCACAGGATGATGGAAATCTTAAAGTTCGCTTTCGTGTTGAATCCACATGTTCTTTTAAAGGTGAATGCATGATCCTTTTCTGGGACAATCAGCCTCTCAGGACTTCTGAAACATCAACGTGAGAAGAAATGGGCATGTAAGGTGTATGGAGGGACTGTGGGAAAGGTGACAGAGGCATGTGGGAAGGCATTCAGGATACGCTTTTGGCATAGATGACTAAGGGAAAACAGAAACTTACAGAAGTGAGGGGAAAGGGGGTGGATTAGTGGAATATAAGATTGTTGGAGAATCCATCCATGGACTCTCTTGTCACTTGATGACCCAGGATATGGACACTCTTGTTGATGTTTACATCTTTAGTTGTTTTAAGCTTTTCTCCAAGATTCTGTGTTAGGTGAGGAGCCAATAACGTATGTAGCTAACAACAGTACGAGTGCATTTTGTGCTCTTGCAAAGTCTAGTGAGGCTCTATTCTCCCTCGTGATTGGCACTGCAGATTGTATCTGGAGCCCAGGGCCCCTAAATTTTCTGTGGCCTCTTCAGCATAGTTTGCCTAAGGTTTAGAACGTAAAGCGAATATAGTTGCGGAATATGTTTTGCAAGCCTCACACAGGAGGACAAAACATACAGCTTTCATTCGCGAGTGGGAGGCTGCTTCCCAGGAACACGTGTGTCTGCACAAGACAAGGGGTTGCCTCTGTCAAGGATGGGGCAGGAGGATTTCAGTGTCGGAGGCAGAACTTTCTTTCCTGTTCCCAGATGAAACAGTTCCAACACGAGCATCCATGTTGACCACACGCTACTAGAGTGCTAACATTGCTGTCCCGTATAGACTCTGGTCAGCACAGCTTCTGTGAGAAGAGCTATGTTGTTTCAGGGAAGAGGGTTTGACAGTCAAAGTTCCTGAATCTGTTGTGGTGCCTGCAATATGCATTCTACCCCTCCTGCTCGGTGTCAAAGCAGTTGAGCTTTGAAAATCTATCGCCCGGTTTTGTCCCTGCTCCTATGCAGACCTCTGAAGCTCTGGAGCGGGAGTCTTGTCCTCCTCTGACTACCGTCCCCCTGACCCACAAACACAGGAGAAACAGGTGTTCTAAGCAAATTATTCTGAAAACAGTCGGAACCCTTTGGCCCCCTCAAGCTGCCCTGTATCCTACTGTGTGCATGTCAAAGACACTGTGGTCCAGTACGGTATCCCTATAGCGGCAATGGGGCAACAGATTGGTGTGTGCACTCTGGGCAACTCAGATTAGGAAACGTCTGGGGACTTGCCTATAACGAGGTCGTCTTAAAACGTGTTGCCCCAAATTTAAGGCATAGGAAAATGTTGAGGAAAGGGTCTTGCAATGATTTTTCTAGGAGGTAAATAGATAAGAAAATGACCGTAAATAGATGCCAGGGCTAGTTTTGGAGCTAGCCTGTTTTAAAGTGGTGGTAGGGGAGGAGCTTTTTCCAAGGCAGGTAGCAAACCAGGAACTGTCTACGATGGATGGGCGTGCCACGGGTTGGTGGCTCAGCCATATTGCCACCCCACCGACTGAATGCAGCAGACTGGGCTTCTTCCTTGAATCCTACGTGCAATTCAGTCTAGTGATTTCACATGAGATCCCTTCTTCTGGTATTATCACAGATCGTGCTGAATTATACAGGCTGTGTAATGCTTCTTCCACTGAATATCCGTGCACGTGGGCCACAGATGCTAAGGGCACTGACAAATTTGCACCGTGCCTCAGTAACTCGGAAGCACATCTGTGATTTGTACCGACAGGGACTTGGTGTCTTTTCGTGTTTAAAGTAGCACGTGTGTGTTTGTGGTTGCGTATGTTTATTTCTCTGTGCGGGTTTGTATATTTTCTCTGACTCCACCTGTGTCTCCGTGGTTCCGATATTTTTCCACACTCCCTGCGACAATTTGCACATGCCTATCTCTACAACCATTGTAGACTTTGTATCTGTGTCTTTGAACATCTGTCACTCTCTCTCCCTTCCTTTTTTCTTTTCCTTCCTTTACACCCCTTTCATCCTTCCCTTGCTTCCCCACCACACTCTCTCCATCTGTATCGTCTATCTTTCTATTCTCTATCTGGGTTTACTTTCTAATTCTGAATTCAAGGGCATTGAATTGAAAAGAAGCACTCTTCGTACTTTTATGTGTTTTAACTCATTTGGGGAATTTGGCGTGGTATTATTTACAGGGTTCTCTCTGCCCTTTCTCATTGTTCTCCCCAGCCGGGGCTGTTATTATGTGAAAGCTGGTTTCCTTCATCACATCGCGTAGGCTCTAATGATGTTTCGTTTATTTTGATTCTCCTCACACTACATAGTTTTAATTTACCTAATGTGACTGTTTTTTTGTTTGTTTTCCGAGAATGGGTCTTACTCTGTCTTCTAGGTTGGACAGCAGCCCCACGATCTCAGCCCACTGCAGCCCAGGCACCACACACCCATGTGATCCTGTCAACTCAGACTCTCACACACCTGGCAGTACAGGTGCATGCCACCCCTCCAAGCTATGTATTAATTAACTAAATACTTACTTTTTGAATGTGGGTCCATGTTGCCCCAGGCTCATCTGGAACTCCTGAGTGCAGGCAATCCTCCCACCTCAGCTTATCAAAGTGCTGGGATGACAGGTGTGACCCATGGCCCTGCCATGGCTTTGTGTTTTTTGCTTTTTTCTTCCTCCTCCTCACGTCTTGTTTTGAAACATGCACTGAAGGTTTCAATTCATGGACTATAGCCTCTGTGCCTGGAATTTCTATCTTTCAACTCATCATCAGCATTCATTGGGATTTTCATATATATATACACCTATATAAGAATACCTATGTACACACATATATACGTATATACATGTATATACGTATATATGCACATTTATATACGTATATACATGTATATACGTATATATATACATGTACACATATGTATTTATTTCTCAAGTTACGAAACGGCTTGCATTCTTTCCTGTGTCATGAAAAAGACTTTGCTAGAAAAGAAAAGCACTGCTTTATAATAAAATATTTTATTTGCATTTATTTTGTTAAGGCATTTTAAAAATTGTATGTTTGTTTAAAAAATGTCATATGAAATGATACATATTTACAACTTAAGGCGTGATGTTCAACAGGTCATATACATTATGCATTGGATACATCCAGCCAATCAACATATGTGTGACCTCACATAGTTGTCATTTTTGTTGTGAAAAAACTTGACCTGCACTGTATTCGAATATTTTTAGAGAAAGAATATGTTACCACTAGTTATAGTGAGCATGCTGAAGAAAATATTTTTAACCTATTCCTCCTTTATAACTAGAAGTATGAGTTCTTCATCCAGCATCTCGTCAGTGCACCCTCTTCACCGCAGTCATTGGAGTCACTACTTCTGTGAAGTCCGCTTTTTTGATTTCATATAAGAATGAGATCATGTGCTATTTTCCTTTCTGATACCTGGCTTATGTCACTTAACAGAATGGCATGCACACATTCAGCAGATTCCCACACATTCTCACAACTGGCAGGATTTCCTGATTTCTTATTGCAGCGCATATTTCCGTTGCGCATATGCGTTTTTGCCCCATTTTTTAATCCACTTATCAATGGAGGGACACTCAGGTTGCTTCCGCATTTTGGCTACAGCAAAAATGTAATGAGTGCAGCAATAATTGCATGGGTGCGCGCACCGCTTCAACATACTGATCTGTGTACTGGCGGGCGTGCCCGGGTATTCTGATTTGCTGGATCATATAGTGGGTGGTTCTACTTGTAGATTTCTGAAGGCTGTTTATACTTAAATAAGAGCCATAAAGCTTCTTTAATGCCAGCACTAATTTACATTCTCCCCAAAAGTGAGCAGGGAATTCGTTTTCTCTGCCTCCTCACCAGAGATTAGGGTTTTCTTTTCTTTCTTTTTTTTTTTTTGTTTGTTTGTCTTTCGGATAATATGCATTCTGACTGAAGTGAGAAGAAATCTCATTGTGTTTTTGATTTGCATTTTCGTGATGGATTGGGGATAATGAGGAATTTTTAGTGTGTCTTCTGGGCAACTGTATGTCTCAGTTTCACAAATGAGTCTTCGCAGCCTTCGCCCATTTGTTTTCATGCTATTGAGTTGTTGGGAGTTCCTTATGTACTGTGACTATTCCCCCATGAACAGATGTATGGTGATCCAATCATTGCTCCCATCCTGTAGGATGCCCCTTCTGTATGTTGAGTTTTCTATGGTGTGGTGAAGCACTTTAGTTTGATATGATTCCATTCTCTATTTTTGATGGTGTTTACTGTGTTCTTGCAGTCACTTTGAGACCATCATTGCACACACGGACGCCATGGAGCTTCTTCCTTGTGATCTCTTCTGCTATTTTTATCGTTTCACATCTGACACTGGAGTTTGGTGATAAATAATCCACTTGTAAAATCCTTTGTGTGGCTATTCAGATTTCCCCAACCTAGTTTATAGAAGATACTTGATTTTGCATTGGTCGTTCTTGCTTCTTTGGGAAAAGGCTGTGAGCTGCAAATGCAGTGACTTAGTTCTGGGCTCCTGTTGTTTTTCCTAAGCTCTAGTCTCTGCTTTTCTGCCAGTGCTATTGTATTTTGGTACAAAAAGTTTTGTAGTAGTATATCATGAAGTTAGGTAGTGTGGTGGCTCCAGCTTTGTGCTTTTTACTGGATTGCTCTGGGTTTTCAGGATCTTCTGCCATTTCATAGCAAATTTGGGATTCCCAGATTGTTTTTCTAAGAAGAATGTGTCATTGATATTTTTACAGGGGTTGTATAGAATCTGAGGATGACTCAGGTAGTAGTGATGTCAATGCCGTTTAGACAATGTGCGTGTTTGTGTGCACAAGCTCAGGGCCAAGAGACACTGGGTGTCCTCACCAATACTGAGGTGGGCCTTAATATCCAGCCAGATTGCCTTCTGGAAACACACGGAATGTCCTGTTCTGTTTTGCCATCTCTTCACATTTCCTCCCCTGTGAGCCCTGTGTGGTCCTCCAGATTCCCTGTGCGGTGGCCTGCCTTTTTTGGGGTGGGGAGTTGCTGGGTGAATGAGGATGGCGGAGGGAACCAAGCATGTCAGTGGAGCGTGGTGTCATCCAAACGGTACTTAGCAGGCCTGGGAGAGTCATTCTGGGAGGACGCAGACCTAGAGAGGCCTCAGGTGGGCATCTGTGTGGAGGGTGAGAGATCCCTGGTTGAGCCCAAACTGAACCCCAGGTAGAAGCAAGCCTCAGGACAGGGAAGTAGCTAGCAAGGGATGATGAGGCAGCTATCTCTTGACCCTGGCTTCCCACCCATTGACCTTAGCTACTTATGCCTATTAAGCAGATTACGGTTCCCCCATCGTGAAATGTGGGTACCACAGTTCCCTGATGGGCATTTCTCCACCAGCCCATGATGGCCTGAGTTTCCTTACTGCAGTCTCCTCCCTGAGCCTTGGCTTCTCTATGTGTGTCCTAACTCCAGGACCCACAGGCCTGTCAACCCCCAGCCCTGGGCTGCTTCCCTGGCCTCTTCTCTGTTCCCTCTCTGAGGGCCTAACTCCCTTGGGTAGTGCTGCAGAATATAGAGCCACAGGCCCTGGCTGATGATCTGGTGGACTGGGCAAATTGGTCGTGACAGGTCAGGTTCTGGTTCAAAGCCAATTCCTCCGATGCCAAGGAATGTCGAAGAAGGTCCTTTGCCATGATGCCCCATAGCTGTCCCACCTCAGCAATCGTGCCGTAACCTGGGCCCTCACAGTCAGACAACCAGCTGAAGAAGCTCAGGCAGTGACCTGCGGGAAACTCGGGCTTTCACCTGCATGACCCTAGAACCACTGGACTGCAGTGGAGCCAGTCGCCCTGTATCCTGGAGGGAGACGAGTCAGGAAGGCGCACGCCAGGCCCAGCTCCCGAGGTACTACCCCCTCTACTCCTCAGGGAGGATGCCAACGCAATACTCCTTAGTCATCACTTTGTTTCCGAAGTAAATGTTGTGATGAAAGGCAAACTTCTTCCTACCCCTTGTATTCAGGGTGGCCGAGTTCCTCCACCTGCCTGTCCAAGAAGGAGAAACAGGGCTGTGAAGGGGCAATTTCATCTAGGTGGGCTGAGGTGGCATTCTAGCCGGGGTGAAGCATGCGTTTCCCCTTCCCAGCTTTCCCGCTGAGACACACCTGAGCCCCAGAAGGACCTCAACCTGACCAGGACCTTAGCACCCTCCCCCAGACCCAGGCTTTCCATCCTGACCTGCAAATCCAACATGCAGCTTTGAAGGACTTTCTCATGGTTTCTGAGCTCCTTGCTCTCACCAGAAAGAATCAGAACTTTTAAAGTGTTCTTTATGCCAACTTAAATTTTTCATTTTTACTACCTCATGTTTTGGATGAGGCATGTATTTTTAAATTTATTTTCACCCTTATTGTACCTCTATGATAAACTGCTTGCTTACATTCATACCGTAATTATCTCTCAGGTTACTTGTCTGTTCCTAAAGATTCACTGAAACGAAGAATTCTATATATGCTTGTATCTTTCAGCAACCGTATGTCAGATAGCACTGCACATTACTGCAGACATCGCATATACAGGTCCAAAGGTAGAGGAAGAAGAAGAAAGCAAGCGTTAAACTCTATTCATTCCTAAAAGCATATCAGAAACTCACAAATAACAGTGAAATCAAAGAATGATCACAGCCAATTCCATTACATACCTAGACTGAAATACGAAACTTCAAAGAAAAGAAACATTAGAACTTTGGGTTTGTAAAAATTTTCCTATATAGATAAAATTATTGGTAACTGTGTCTCACTAGAAAACGTAAACAAAAATCCATGTTTTTCATATTTGTAAATATACATAGTTTTATTTCCATCAGTTATGACATGCAAGCAAGTAATAAAGTGAAAGTACAATCAAATGATATATGGAACTTCCTCAGTCTTAAAATATTCCATGGAGACTATCAATTTTATGAAAACTATAAAGAATGCTTCATGAAACTACATTGTACAGTGCCATTTACTATTTTACTGACATTTTAAATAATCAACAATTAAAGGGAATACGTCAACATTATTTAATACCAATAACGTTATTTTTCTTGAGTAATCCTGTTGAAATTAAGGATTTTAAATAAAACATTAAAAACAAATTATATTGACTGATTTCAGCTTTGGATGAAATCATACTTGTGTATTTGTAGTAATGCGAAGCATAACTTTCTCCTCACAATTAATCTTTTATAACATCGGTGTTATAGTTTTCTCTGACACCAACATTGTGATATCGCACAGGTTTACTGCATGCATGCATTACATGCCTCCAGAGAGTAGGCTTCAAATATATGGAAAAATTATATTTATGAAAAAATTCTAGGAAAGGGAATGGTGAAATGGAAGAGAATTTCTCACTTGCTAACTGTTGGACATGGATTTGTATATATTTGGATATAGACACATACTGGCACACTGTGAGTTTGCCCATGTATATATACACTTATATGAGAAACCCATAATATATGGGTTGTGTAATCTTTTAATTAATCCATAATTGTATGTGTGTGAAATTAGATAAGCGGTTACCTTTTCTTTACTCAATTTGATGGAAAGCCAAAAAACTCTGTCCACCTTCATTTCAATTAATCCAATACTGTTAACTGCTGGTAGCTTCATTCTCCTTGTTCTCTTACGGCAACCGGAAAGTTAATTCTCGCTCTAATTTGGCTTTCAAGGTGCGATCAACAAGAGTGTCACCTTGCTGTGGATTGTGACCTCTGACTCCACCTCTGTCTTCCTTTTGCAGTCCTACCTTTGCATAGGTAACAAACTTTGTACATGGTTAAAAGGATAAAAGTTCAGTGAAATGTCAAGCCATGCTGTGAAATGTTCCATAGTTTCTATATCTCTAATTGTCCTTTGATGTTATAGAGGCAAGAAAAATAATTCAATGTTTTTCTTAGTATCTAGTCCAATGCACTCTTTCTTCATAATACTGCAAACAAGGCACTGACATGGAAACGTGGCTGGACGTCTCAAAATCTCTTCTCATTAATTACCATTATGTTAATCACTGTTGCCCACAACTGGAATTGGACTTTGAAATCCCCTGGTGGAAATTGCTATAATGGCTCAAACTACTGGAAAGACTATCTTTTTTTTACCTGAAAATATCTGATGAGCATAGACGTATGCTATATACAGGAACATATTGTACATTAACAACATACCATCACTGCCACTCAATAATAGGTATCCCAAACCTTTGAGCCAAACTGAGCTCGGGTGCTCCCACAAACCAAGCTTTTCCCTCCACAGATTTCTTATGTCAAAAAGCCACAACTCCAGGCCAGGCTTCGTGGCTCTTGTTGTAATTTCTACATTTTGGGAGGCCGAGGTTGGTGGGTCACTTGAGGTCAGGAGTTGGAGACCAGCATGGGCAACATGGCAAAAAGCTGTCTCTACCAAAAATACAAAAATTAGCCAGACCTAGTGGCACTTTCCTGTGGTCCCAGCTACTTGGGAGGCTGAGGCAGGAGAACCACCTGAACATGGGTGGCAGAGATTGTATAGTAAGCCAAGATCAGACTACTGCACTCCAGCCTGGATGACACAGCGAGACCATGACTGAAAAAAGAAAAAAAAAAAATAAAGGCAACTCCACTCGTCCACTGGCTTAGGTAAAAAGTACTGGAGTTGGCTGGGCTCGGTGGCTCACACCTGTATTCCCAGCACTTTGGATTTTGGGAAGCTGAGTCGGGCGGGTCACCTGAGATCTGTAGTAGGAGAGCAGCCTGGCCAACATGGTGAAGCCTGGCTTCTACTAAAAATACAAAACATTAGCTGAGCGTGGTGATGCATGCTTGTAATCCCAGCTACTGCAGAGGCTGAACCTGGGAGGCGGAGGATGTGTTGAGCTGAGATCCTGCCACTGCGCTCCAGCCTGGTCTACAGAGCGAGAGTACCCTGTGAGAAACAAAGGTGAAGAGAACAAGAAAAAAAAATGAGAAAAATAAGACCCACTGCAAAAGGTTGCCACAGAAAAGATTAAACATTTCAGCAACTTCTATCTTCTGTCATGGAAGCCAAGGTTATTTGGACCAAACCTCCTGTCTTAGTTCATTTTCACGCTGCTGAAGAAGACATACCTGAAACTGGGAATAAAAGGAGGTTTAATTGGACTGACAGTTCCACATGGCTGTGGAGGCCTCAGAATCATGGTATACGAATAAAGGCACTTCTTACATGGCAATGCCAAGAGAGAATGAGGAAGAACCTGAGGCAGAAACCCCTGAAAAACCCATCAGATCCCGTGAGACTTCTTCACTGTCACAAGAATAGCATGAGAAAGACCGACCCCCATGATTCAATTACCTCCCCCTGGGTCCCACCCGCAACACGAGGGAATTCTGGGAGATACAATTGAAGCTGAGATTTGAATGGAGACACACCAAACCATGTCACTTCCCAAACAATTAAAAATTCCCAATAGAAGAAGCATTAATTATATCAAAAAGTGGTGGACCAAGAAGGAACTATTAGCCTCATATCTCAAGAAAGACTCCAGTCAAGGCCTAGGGACTACTCATGAAAAGAGTTTAATAGCCGACTCTCTCCCAGTGGATCTGGATTCCACCGGACTGTATCTTCACAGTAAGGGTGAAACAGAAGCAAACCCATTCCTATTTCCAAGCTCAAGGAACTTTGGTCAAAGTTCTCTTGGAGCTGAGCAGAACAAGGAGGCAAACAGAAAAGATTTGTGTCCCTGAGAAGTCATGGCCACAGGCTGGCTATCACACAGATTGTCAAGCCAGTTCCATATTGCATGGGTATTACAGAAAATCTCAAAACATAAATTTGTGTGTGGGTTGTCCCAGAGTAGCAGGATCTGGCAGAAGGAAATTTCCTTCTAACCCTCAAAGAATCCACATAAATCTTGTTACATTTGGGATTTTACGATTTGCTTCAGGAATGAGAATGGCCTTAATTTTCATATCTTTTTCTACACTCAGTTTATGTCTTGTTGGCGTCAAAGTTCTGCTTGCTTCACACAATGAGTTTAGGATTTTCCCTTTTTTATTCTATAGAATTCTTCATATATATTGAAATGCTCTGCCTGGGGAAAAAAATCTGAGCCTAGCGTTTTATCTCTAGGAAGAATCCTTTATTTCCTTGAACATTTATGAGACTATACAGATTATATATGTCTTCTTGTATCAATTTTACTAAGCTATATACATAGCTTATGTTTATATATTATATATATAAATGTAAGATACAAATATAAAAATTATGTATAAATATGAAAATATATATAGAAAGCGATATATATGTCTATATATATAGACAGATTATAAATATCTGTCTATTTGATCTAAGTTTTCAAATTTGTAGGTTAAGGTGTTAACGATATTTCCTTATTAGCTTCTTAATCTATGCTGTATCTATGGTTGTGTACCTTTTAAATTCTTAGTTTTATCTATGTTTTCTCCCTTTTTTTCTAAACTTGACTGACGGTTGCATCATTTATTATATTTCTCCAACAAGCAAAGGTTAGCTTTGTATGTTTTACTAATTTTGTCTACATCATTATTCCCACACTTTAGTTTTTCAGAATTGATTCTGTTGTTTCTTTTCTAATTCTTTATTGAAATATCTAGTACATTAATTTTCAAGTTATTAGAGAAATATTTGTCTGTAAACTCCTATTGTAATATCACTTTTCTTGCTACTCACAGATTTAATCTTTAATATTGGCGGTATCATTGAGTTCTAAGTACATTTCAATTCCTAGTATGATAATCTATGAATTGCTGAGAAATAGTGTTTACAATTTTGTTGTTCTATTTCCACTTAAGTTTATTTTTACTTCTGCTAACTCAATTGAAAATTCTTTACTAATTTTTAAAATCCTTGAACCCAAGAGATGGAGGTTGCAGTGAGCTGAGATCAGGCCACTGCATTCCAGACTGAGTGACAGAGTGGAACGAGATTTCAAAACAAAACAAAACAAAACAAAACAAAACAGTCACTGGAAAGATAATAAAATACATAAATGTGGGATGTAATATGTAATCGTGATAAAATAAACTGGATTTTTTGTATAAGTTATACATATAAATGTAATGCCAAGACACTGATAAGACAACTCATGGTCTTATCTCAATACTTAGTGTCTTCATGTAACATATGTCCTTTAGGATAGTTATAGTCCGTTTTCTTTCCAGGAGAGACAGATGAGAATGCAGAAATGTTAAAGTGCAAGGGACGGAAGCTTCCAGCTGTGCCCACCTGTAACCTGACGTAGACAGTTCCACCGTTTGCTTCATTAATCATGCCAAAGGCTCTAATGCAAATGTGGTACAGAGTCACATGTTTTTGTATCTACATGATAGAAACTATAACTTCATCCCTATATAGAAGGGTATATAGCATATGCCTCAGTGATAAATATAAGTGAATCATTGATCAGTAGGAAACCATTTTAAAAGTCTTTCATAACAGAACAAAATCCCTGAAAACATTTTCTTCTCAATCTCTGAGTTTTCTTACACGGCTTATGAATCTCTAGCCATACTAAAGAGATAGTATGCTGCTCTTCCCACAAATTATTCATTGTATATAATTCCTGTAATCTAATAACAGTACCTTTACACCTCAGGGTTTAAAATGACTCCAACCTTTTTCTGTTTCTCCAATTAAAATAACTTTTTTAAGGTTTAATCTTCAGTAATTTTTTGTAGTAATATTTTTGAAGGTATTTGACCAGGATGATTTGCTTATATACCTACCTGACGTCTCCCTTTCTTCTGAATACATATTTTATTACCCACCTATTAGATCTAAGTTTAAGAAGTTGGAATAGGGATTTAAATCTAAATTCTACATTTGAATTTACAGGAGTCAGCGAGTCCGGGAAGTGCCTTTATGCACAGACCAATATCTGGCAATGGCACTAGGAGACAAATAAGCTTTACCAGTCTCAAAGCCCTGGCTACTACAGTGAATCCACCCTTCTCCTGGATCTTATCTACTTCAGCAAAAGAAGGCCACCCACTAAACCAGGCCCTTGTACTTTGGGTGGAAACTCCTAAGTCCTCTAGTCTCCTCAAACAGACAGCCAGGCTGCCAATTTCCACAATAATAATTTCTATAGCACTGAGCCTTTGGTAGCCTTGTAACTATAGCTACTGATGCTACAGTCTGGTCCCTGTATGATAAAACACCAGAGCAACAGAAACAAAAATATTGACTGAAGCCTTCTAAAATCTCTCTAAATATACCTTCAATAAATATCGTTTTTTTTTACAGAACGACTGCTTTCAGCTTCCTGAACGAACGCTTGGCCTTCGCTAGTTGTCACTGTTGAAATTGATTCAAAAGTGTACATTTAACATGAAAGTCAACACAGAATTTCATGTGTCAGCAACTAAAATTTTCAAAATGTTGCAAAATACAAATGTGAAACTGTATTTGTGAAATTTACCATTCATTGAAATTATATTTTCATACCTACCCAGGCACAGAATTTTTTATAACTGTCTGCATGTTCTCCTCATGTGGGGGAAAAACAGCATCAGCAGGCAGAGGAATCCTTTGAAGCTGGAGGGAGAGGTTGCAGTGATCTGAGAGTTTGCCACTTGACTGCAGCCTGGATGACACAGTGAGACTCCAACTGAAAAGAAACAAACACACACACACACACACACACACACACACCCCCAAAATTGATAAGTAAAAAAAAAATCCGTATTCGAAAACATGCTCACAGGCTAACTCCCATATCTAACACACACACACACACACACACACACACACACACACACACACAATTCCTTGGCTGAAAAGTTCCACAAGGGCGAAACAAGAAAACAAATTTAACACCCCCCAAAGAAAGTACAAAGAGTAACCTCAAAAGAACCGCAGGGGAAAACAATTCAAAATTTACAAGTATCTACCCTAAAAGAAGCTGAAAGTCCCTCAAAAACTTTCCAGAGGCCATGTCCTTGTATTACAAAAATGATCATAAAAACTGGCAGGAGTAGACGAATAGAAATGCATCTTAAAACTTGCTGAACACTTCAAGTCTCCCATAAGAATTGTAATGGAAAATGGATCAGTCGGCAGTTTTTTCCATACAATTATGAACAAATTATATTTCTTCATACATAGATTTGTTTTTTCAATATTCTAAGGAATTAACTTTTATATTAATAGTAGGTGATGTAAGAAAGCAGGCCTTTATCAAGATAACTGACACTGGATGTCCATACCATTACTCAGGTGGGCCTTAATTCCCAGCCGGGTTCCCTCCCTGGACACACACTGAAGGTCCCCAGCCATTTGGCAATCTCTTCACATTCCCAGCCCTGGAGGTAGCCCTAAAATACATGTACCTGAAGAAAATAAAACATTGCCTCACACTGGAGCCCAGTGTGGTCCTCCAGATTCCGTGTGAGGTGGACTAACTTATATGGGAAGGCAGGGCAGCGGGAGTGAGGATGGCAGAGAGGATTACACATGTCAAGGCAGCCGGGGTCATGGAAACAAAACATGACTGGCCTGGGAGAAACACTGTGAAAGGACACAGACCTAGGTGGGCCTCAGGTGGACATCCTCGTGGAGAAAAAGGGGGCCCTGGTTGATCTCAAAATGAGCCCCAGGTGGTAGCAGGTCTTACCGCAGGGCAGGGAGCTGGCGAGTAATGATGAGACAGCTATCCCTTAAGCCCTGCTTGTCACCCACTGACTTTAGCCACATATGCATCATAGTGGCTTAAGGTGCCCCGATCCTGAAATGTGGGTGTTACATGTCCCTGATGGGCCTCTCTCCCCCAACCCACGGATTGCCTGGGATTGCTCACTGCAGTCTCCTCCCGGATCCTTGGGTTCTCCATGTGGGGCCCAGATCCAGGTCAAAAGGCCTCTCAGTTCCCAGCCCTTCCCAGCCCTAGGCTGCTCGCCTGGCCTCCTCTCTGTTCCGCCTCTAGGGCTGACCCTCTCTCCATGGGATAGAACTGCAATGGATTGAGCCATAGGCCCTGGCTGATGATCTAGGGGACTGCAGAAGTGGGTCCAGGACAGTTCAGGTGACAGTTCAAAGCCAATTCCCCAGAGACCAAGGAATGACCAGCTAGGTCCTTTCCCATGATGCCCCATGGCGAACCCCACCTCAGCAATCCTGCCAAAACCCGGGCAGTCATGTTCAGCCAAACAGCTGAATGAGCTCAGGTAGGAGGTGTACTGCCTGCAGCTGGAGGCTTGACCTTCGTGATCCCAGAACCGCTGGACTGCAGTGGAATGAGACACCCTGTAGCCTGCAGGGAGAGGAGTCAGGAAGGTTCATGCCAGTCCCACCCTCCCACACACCAGCTCCCCTACCATGCTGGGAGGCATTCCTTACCGAGGATGCCAACACAGTGCTCCTTCATGATGATTTCACTGTGGAAATAAAGGTTGGGATGAAAGGAAATCATCCTGCCACCGGTAACCGGGATGGCTGAGTTCCTCCACCTGCCGGATCAAGGAGAAAGAGGATGGATTCAATGGGACCATCTCAACTAGCTGGGCTGAGGTGGCCTACTAGCTGTAGTGAACCATGAGTTTCCCCTTCCCAGCTCTCCCACTGAGACAACCCTGGTCCCCAGGGGGACCTCAAACTGACTCAGACACTGGACTCCTCCCACAGACCCAGGCTCCCCAGCCTGACCTGCAAATCCATCACGTAGCAAAGCAGGACTTCCGCATGCTTTCCGACCCACGCCGACATCTCGTGTGCCAAACAATCTACCTCTGCGCAAGAACTCTCCAGAGGATTGGGTGGGCAAGCCTCGTGACGCCTTGCAATTTCGCAAGAACACAGACAATGTGGAACAGGGCCATCTCCCAGACATTTGGCCAGTCACCCTTCATTGTTGGCCCTCTATCTCTGTCTGGCGAGGAGGCAACGCCACAACTGTGGTGGTTTTTGGAGTGGGTGGACCCCGGCCAAGACGGCCTGGGCTGACCAGAGACGGGAGGCAGAAAAAGTGGGCAGGTGGTTGCAGCTGAGGGACGGGAGGGACCGGGGGTGGTGTGAGGCGGCTGCTTCTCTGAGTTTCTGAGATGCAGGAGGCCTTTGTGTGCTGGGTGCTGGACATGCTCCGCTGATGTCCGGGTGTGTGGTGTCCTCTTATCCTAGTCTCCCTGAGGGGTGGGCCTGTCCACCTGAGGGAAGCCTTGTAGTTAGAAGCCACAGCAGGGTCGTGCCTGGCGCTCTCCAAGGGAATTGCGTGGGTCCAGAGGAAGTTATACAGGCTCAGGGCCTACACGCCTTTGAGTGCAGCGCCTGCAGTTGGATGAATGCGCATCTGCGGAGCTGGTGCCCGCCGTCAGGTGGTCGGCAGCCCCATGCGCCGCGAACCCGTCTTAAGCACCTTGTGTTTCTGGGGTGAGCCTGCTGGAAACAGGCACCGAGAGCAGGGGTGGTTCAATGGCTGGTAATGGCATACAGATTCCCCGTCCTCCAGGGACGTTCCCAGGGAAACGCGTCCTTCGAATTTGGGCTGTGCGCAAAGGGACCTTGGCGCCGCGATTCTCCCTTGTCAGTGCTGGCCCTGGCTCCCCTTCCCTACCACGTGCTCCCAGGGCTGCTACAAGCGAGCTGCCCTCACAGCTGCGGGAACGTGGCCTCGGCTCCCACGCTGTCCCCCATCCCCTGCCTCCTGGCTGACCCCACGTGCCTCCCACCTGGCTCCTCCCCCCAAACAGCCCCCATACCCCCCGAGGCCCGATGACTATCCCCTGCTGCCCGCCATCCCAAATCGGCAGCCGCAAGGATATGGCTCTGGCTCACAAGGCGGAGATGCTCTGTGGCCTGGGGCATTCACGGAGCCCAGCTCCAAGTGAAGGACCTCCAGCGAGTCCATTGACGGCCCCGGTGTGCTCGGTCCAGGGCCAGGCTGTGCCCGCTGGCCCTCCTTCTGCCACCCCACGTCGGGCTCCACCTCAACCACCACCTCCACCTCAGCCATGATGTCTTCCACCTTCAGCACCGCCTCCTCTTCCAAGGCCGCCTCCTTGCTCTGTACCCCGGCCGTCCTCTCCAGCATTGCCTCCAGCCTGAACACGGTTTTCTCCTGGGTGCTCCCACAGACCCTGGGCCTGCGCAGCCCAGCCCAGCCCAGCCCATGCCCCGCACCCGTAGGCTCTGGGGGCCCGCTCCCCAGCAGACCCGCTCCCTGCAAGACCCACGGGCGTCGCCCTGCTGTGAACCTGGTCCCACACCTACGTGGACCCAGGTTTCCTGAGGAGCTCCGCTGGACCCGCAGATCCCGCACTGGCCAAAGGGCTCCGGTCCCCAGCAGGCTCAACTGCGCACAGGAGCTCGGGAGCCAGAGGCCCCGGCCCTGGGCTTGCAGAGCCCCACCAACAGGCACCGCAACCGCTGCTGCGGGTGCGGGAGCCTCTGGGTCGTCAAGGCAGCGCACAACAGCGTGCGCGCAGGCCGACAATGGCCAACCCTGGCGGCTGGCCTCTGGTGTGCCCAGGGCATAGGACAAGAGGCCCTTTGGAATGCTCCTTGGAGTACAGCATCCTCAGGGAGGAAGCATGGTACTCGGAGCCTCTATTTGCCTCGACCTGTGAGAGTGTGTGCCGGGGCTCTGGCCTCTACAGCAGATCAATTCCACCTCAGCACCGGCAGGCGACTTTCCTCCCACGTGCCCGCCCCGATCACTTCCCCCAGGACACCCCTGCCGCCCTAGCCCCAGCAACCAGAGAGAGTTCTCTGCATCTGCTGTATTACCTCCGTACCATCTACCTGGCCTGCCTAACGAAGAGAGATGTTTCCTGTGTTCATGACACATAGAGATGTTCATGGCTTGCCACACTGAGGATGTCAGGGCACAGGGCTGCCATGCCCACAATTCCAAAGGCCACGCAGCCCGCGTGTGCCCGGATGCCTAGCTACCCGGCACAAGCTCCAAGGGCTTCTCGGAGGAGGCTTGGGCAGGGAAGGCGGGGGGTGGGGGGGCTGGAGATGCAGGCCCGCCAGTGGCTGTGCCGCCCAGGGAGACGCCCACCGCCCTCCCATTGATTGGCCACGACGGGAGGAAGTCGGCCTGGGTGCGGCCCCCCGGCCCTTCGCGCGCAGTCCCTTAGGGGGCGCCTGGAAGCCCGGCGCATGCGCCCTGAGGGCTCGCTGACCTACCGGGTGCCAGAGAGGCTGCGGCAGGGTTTCTGTGGCGTGGGTCGGGCAGCACAGGCCTTGGTGTGTGCGAGTGCCAAGGAGGGCACCGCCTTCAGGATGGAGGCTGTGCAGGAGGGGGCGGCCGGGGTGGAGAGTGAGCAGGCGGCTTTGGGGGAGGAGGCGGTGCTGCTGTTGGATGACATAATGGCGGAGGTGGAGGTGGTGGCGGAGGAGGAGGGCCTCGTGGAGCGGCGGGAGGAGGCCCAGCGGGCACAGCAGGCTGTGCCTGGCCCTGGGCCCATGACCCCAGAGTCTGCACTGGAGGAGCTGCTGGCCGTTCAGGTGGAGCTGGAGCCGGTTAATGCCCAAGCCAGGAAGGCCTTTTCTCGGCAGCGGGAAAAGATGGAGCGGAGGCGCAAGCCCCACCTAGACCGCAGAGGCGCCGTCATCCAGAGCGTCCCTGGCTTCTGGGCCAATGTTGTATCCTTCTCAGTGTTTCTTCGGCCTTTCTAGTGGAGAGGTGCTCTCGGGGAAGTGTAAGTGACCGATGGGCAGCTCGGCGTCGATGTGACTCTTTGGGGAACAAAGGGGAGTTGCCACGGACCAGTGTGGCTGTGGAAAGCCGGAGCAGGCGTGGGTACTATTGTCCTGCATGCGGCAGAGAAACCCTTGGTGATGCCGAGCAGCAGACGTTTGGGGCATCTTTTTGAAGAGCAGAAGCGAGTTCAGAGCGGAAGAGGTTTTTCAGTGAATGAAGCTATTTTTAAGGGAGTGTGATTGCTGCCCCTTGCTAGTCCGATCTGGGACTGGGCGTCTTCGGCTATAAGCAGATTCTGCCACTCCTCAGACACCAGCAAGTCTCTGCAAATCGCGCCTCCCCATGTCAGTGCAGTCAGCCTCAGAATCATACACCCTCTGTGAACACAGGAGGCCTTAGTTTAAGGGGAGGGGGAGGCGAAAGGAGATCATACATGGAAGCAGATCTGAGAAATCCCCTACCCCAGCCTCTGGGTGCTCTTAGGCCTTCTTCCCTGTTGCTCCTCGCTTTCCCTTCCATCGTGTGTAAAGTCTCTTTGACCTAAATCAGATTGCAAACCACCCCCAGATGTCAGCCCTGATCACTGACGAAGATGAAGACATGCTGAGCTACATGGTCAGCCTGGAGGTGAGGCCAGGAAGACTGGGGCTAGAGGGTTTAGCGGGGGAGGGTAAGGGAAATAATTCATTCCTGTAAGCAAGAGTGAGCACCTCACCCGAAAACCTATCTAAGCTTTCTCCACCTTGTCCTGACAGGTGGAAGAAGAGAAGCATCCTGTTCATCTCTGCAAGATCATGTTGTTCTTTCGGAGTAACCCCTACTTCCAGAATAAAGTGATTACCAAGGAATATCTGGTGAACATCACAGGTGACAGGTGGCTCCCAGGATGGGTAGTGGAAGGAAGATGGTGGGTGGATCATTGCCAACGGGATCCAGCCCCCTTCCCACAAAAACTCCTGTCTCTGTAGAATACAGGGCTTCTCATTCCACTCCAATTGAGTGGTATCCGGATTATGAAGTGGAGGCCTATCGCCGCAGACACCACAACAGCAGCCTTAACTTCTTCAACTGGTTCTCTGACCACAACTTCGCAGGATCTAACAAGATTGCTGAGGTGAGTCCTCACTGGGAAACATGAGGAATGACCCCGTGTGTTCCCAGCTGCTTGGGTCACCTTTCTGAGCCCTGATGAGGCCTTTCCCGATTGAGTCCCCTGACAGATCCTATGTAAGGACCTGTGGCGCAATCCCCTGCAATACTACAAGAGGATGAAGCCACCTGAAGAGGGAACAGAGACGTCAGGTGAGCCGTTAGTTGGCACTGGAGCTGTTTGATGCCCAGTATAAGGGGGTTGACACACCTGCCTATTCAGGGAGCCTGGGTGCTCATTTCAGAAATGTAGAAATTGAGGCTCCTTTCGTACATGTAGAAATTCCTTGAGAGGAAGACAGAGAGTGACAGAATCCAGGACGTTCATGGCATTGGGCTGAAAAGGCACGTTAGAGACTGCACTGCAAAGCGGGTGATAGCTGTGGAGTCTTAAGCCCAGTGAAGAATCGTCCATTTCCAGAATCAATGAGAAGTAAAGCTGAAAATCATTCAGTTCAGTCTGTGGCACTTGATTCCACGGCTGTCAACCCCACCGGCAGTCATCCCACCAACCCCATGAGATTGGGCTCCCTGAATGTGCGTCCTGGTCATCCTTGCCCCAAACCACAAAGGACTGTTTAGATTGATGGATTTCCTTAAGCTGTTGCCCCATCAGACTTGTGTGTGCTTTTAGGGCCCAGTGCATCTTGTTAGCTGACTCCCCTCACAGACAATACTGGGAATGGGGCAGGGATTGCGCAGAACAGTTTGTAACACGTGGTAGGAGGAAGTTTAAGGGATCACAAATGGGGAAGGGATATCCTTTTCTCAGCGGGCCCCACAATTGAAACATTTCAAAGTATGGCTCAGAGAAAATGCGTTTTAACATGAGTTTGTGTTTCTCTAGGGGACTCCCAGTTGTTGAGTTGAATATGATGGAGCATCAGATTTTACCTAATACAGCAGAACTCCTAAAAAGTTACAGCCATATGCAGGACGGCAGTACTCAGCATGGTCTTATGCACAGGAACTAAAGGAAAAAGAGATCGAGTCACAAAAATTCAGGAAGAGGGGGTAAATGTGGATTGTATGGAATGAAAAATAAACATTCTCAAGGATGTGTGACTCTGTGTCTGTGTGTGTGTGTGTGTGTCTTTGAGTTTGTGTGTGTGTGTGTGTGTGTGTGTATGTTTATCCACTTTATTCGGGTGTCATAATGAATTGATCAATCCACGTGCTTTATTCTCTTAATGGAAATAACCAGTCTGCGTTGGAGCTGGGCCTCTAAAGTTGTAGAGTGAATGGGTGTGGGATGTGTTGGGATTCTTCCTACAGGACAGAGTGGGAGAGGTAAAAGCAAAAGACAGCTTAGTTGGAGGCTGACTTCGTCCTGTGGAAGCAGAGATAGTTCAAGGAAAGGGGTTACTGGGTTTCCAGGGCCCAGTTTGCTGGGACCTCCAAAATCCTTCATTTTGGGTATCATCATACACAGTAGCTAAGCACAGGATGATGGAAATCTTAAAGTTCGCTTTCGTGTTGAATCCACATGTTCTTTTAAAGGTGAATGCATGATCCTTTTCTGGGACAATCAGCCTCTCAGGACTTCTGAAACATCAACGTGAGAAGAAATGGGCATGTAAGGTGTATGGAGGGACTGTGGGAAAGGTGACAGAGGCATGTGGGAAGGCATTCAGGATACGCTTTTGGCATAGATGACTAAGGGAAAACAGAAACTTACAGAAGTGAGGGGAAAGGGGGTGGATTAGTGGAATATAAGATTGTTGGAGAATCCATCCATGGACTCTCTTGTCACTTGATGACCCAGGATATGGACACTCTTGTTGATGTTTACATCTTTAGTTGTTTTAAGCTTTTCTCCAAGATTCTGTGTTAGGTGAGGAGCCAATAACGTATGTAGCTAACAACAGTACGAGTGCATTTTGTGCTCTTGCAAAGTCTAGTGAGGCTCTATTCTCCCTCGTGATTGGCACTGCAGATTGTATCTGGAGCCCAGGGCCCCTAAATTTTCTGTGGCCTCTTCAGCATAGTTTGCCTAAGGTTTAGAACGTAAAGCGAATATAGTTGCGGAATATGTTTTGCAAGCCTCACACAGGAGGACAAAACATACAGCTTTCATTCGCGAGTGGGAGGCTGCTTCCCAGGAACACGTGTGTCTGCACAAGACAAGGGGTTGCCTCTGTCAAGGATGGGGCAGGAGGATTTCAGTGTCGGAGGCAGAACTTTCTTTCCTGTTCCCAGATGAAACAGTTCCAACACGAGCATCCATGTTGACCACACGCTACTAGAGTGCTAACATTGCTGTCCCGTATAGACTCTGGTCAGCACAGCTTCTGTGAGAAGAGCTATGTTGTTTCAGGGAAGAGGGTTTGACAGTCAAAGTTCCTGAATCTGTTGTGGTGCCTGCAATATGCATTCTACCCCTCCTGCTCGGTGTCAAAGCAGTTGAGCTTTGAAAATCTATCGCCCGGTTTTGTCCCTGCTCCTATGCAGACCTCTGAAGCTCTGGAGCGGGAGTCTTGTCCTCCTCTGACTACCGTCCCCCTGACCCACAAACACAGGAGAAACAGGTGTTCTAAGCAAATTATTCTGAAAACAGTCGGAACCCTTTGGCCCCCTCAAGCTGCCCTGTATCCTACTGTGTGCATGTCAAAGACACTGTGGTCCAGTACGGTATCCCTATAGCGGCAATGGGGCAACAGATTGGTGTGTGCACTCTGGGCAACTCAGATTAGGAAACGTCTGGGGACTTGCCTATAACGAGGTCGTCTTAAAACGTGTTGCCCCAAATTTAAGGCATAGGAAAATGTTGAGGAAAGGGTCTTGCAATGATTTTTCTAGGAGGTAAATAGATAAGAAAATGACCGTAAATAGATGCCAGGGCTAGTTTTGGAGCTAGCCTGTTTTAAAGTGGTGGTAGGGGAGGAGCTTTTTCCAAGGCAGGTAGCAAACCAGGAACTGTCTACGATGGATGGGCGTGCCACGGGTTGGTGGCTCAGCCATATTGCCACCCCACCGAGTGAATGCAGCAGACTGGGCTTCTTCCTTGAATCCTACGTGCAATTCAGTCTAGTGATTTCACATGAGATCCCTTCTTCTGGTATTATCACAGATCGTGCTGAATTATACAGGCTGTGTAATGCTTCTTCCACTGAATATCCGTGCACGTGGGCCACAGATGCTAAGGGCACTGACAAATTTGCACCGTGCCTCAGTAACTCGGAAGCACATCTGTGATTTGTACCGACAGGGACTTGGTGTCTTTTCGTGTTTAAAGTAGCACGTGTGTGTTTGTGGTTGCGTATGTTTATTTCTCTGTGCGGGTTTGTATATTTTCTCTGACTCCACCTGTGTCTCCGTGGTTCCGATATTTTTCCACACTCCCTGCGACAATTTGCACATGCCTATCTCTACAACCATTGTAGACTTTGTATCTGTGTCTTTGAACATCTGTCACTCTCTCTCCCTTCCTTTTTTCTTTTCCTTCCTTTACACCCCTTTCATCCTTCCCTTGCTTCCCCACCACACTCTCTCCATCTGTATCGTCTATCTTTCTATTCTCTATCTGGGTTTCCTTTCTAATTCTGAATTCAAGGGCATTGAATTGAAAAGAAGCACTCTTCGTACTTTTATGTGTTTTAACTCATTTGGGGAATTTGGCGTGGTATTATTTACAGGGTTCTCTCTGCCCTTTCTCATTGTTCTCCCCAGCCGGGGCTGTTATTATGTGAAAGCTGGTTTCCTTCATCACATCGCGTAGGCTCTAATGATGTTTCGTTTATTTTGATTCTCCTCACACTACATAGTTTTAATTTACCTAATGTGACTGTTTTTTTGTTTGTTTTCCGAGAATGGGTCTTACTCTGTCTTCTAGGTTGGACAGCAGCCCCACGATCTCAGCCCACTGCAGCCCAGGCACCACACACCCATGTGATCCTGTCAACTCAGACTCTCACACACCTGGCAGTACAGGTGCATGCCACCCCTCCAAGCTATGTATTAATTAACTAAATACTTACTTTTTGAATGTGGGTCCATGTTGCCCCAGGCTCATCTGGAACTCCTGAGTGCAGGCAATCCTCCCACCTCAGCTTATCAAAGTGCTGGGATGACAGGTGTGACCCATGGCCCTGCCATGGCTTTGTGTTTTTTGCTTTTTTCTTCCTCCTCCTCACGTCTTGTTTTGAAACATGCACTGAAGGTTTCAATTCATGGACTATAGTCTCTGTGCCTGGAATTTCTATCTTTCAACTCATCATCAGCATTCATTGGGATTTTCATATATATATACACCTATATAAGAATACCTATGTACACACATATATACGTATATACATGTATATACGTATATATGCACATTTATATACGTATATACATGTATATACGTATATATATACATGTACACATATGTATTTATTTCTCAAGTTACGAAACGGCTTGCATTCTTTCCTGTGTCATGAAAAAGACTTTGCTAGAAAAGAAAAGCACTGCTTTATAATAAAATATTTTATTTGCATTTATTTTGTTAAGGCATTTTAAAAATTGTATGTTTGTTTAAAAAATGTCATATGAAATGATACATATTTACAACTTAAGGCGTGATGTTCAACAGGTCATATACATTATGCATTGGATACATCCAGCCAATCAACATATGTGTGACCTCACATAGTTGTCATTTTTGTTGTGAAAAAACTTGACCTGCACTGTATTCGAATATTTTTAGAGAAAGAATATGTTACCACTAGTTATAGTGAGCATGCTGAAGAAAATATTTTTAACCTATTCCTCCTTTATAACTAGAAGTATGAGTTCTTCATCCAGCATCTCGTCAGTGCACCCTCTTCACCGCAGTCATTGGAGTCACTACTTCTGTGAAGTCCGCTTTTTTGATTTCATATAAGAATGAGATCATGTGCTATTTTCCTTTCTGATACCTGGCTTATGTCACTTAACAGAATGGCATGCACACATTCAGCAGATTCCCACACATTCTCACAACTGGCAGGATTTCCTGATTTCTTATTGCAGCGCATATTTCCGTTGCGCATATGCGTTTTTGCCCCATTTTTTAATCCACTTATCAATGGAGGGACACTCAGGTTGCTTCCGCATTTTGGCTACAGCAAAAATGTAATGAGTGCAGCAATAATTGCATGGGTGCGCGCACCGCTTCAACATACTGATCTGTGTACTGGCGGGCGTGCCCGGGTATTCTGATTTGCTGGATCATATAGTGGGTGGTTCTACTTGTAGATTTCTGAAGGCTGTTTATACTTAAATAAGAGCCATAAAGCTTCTTTAATGCCAGCACTAATTTACATTCTCCCCAAAAGTGAGCAGGGAATTCGTTTTCTCTGCCTCCTCACCAGAGATTAGGGTTTTCTTTTCTTTCTTTTTTTTTTTTGTTTGTTTGTCTTTCGGATAATATGCATTCTGACTGAAGTGAGAAGAAATCTCATTGTGTTTTTGATTTGCATTTTCGTGATGGATTGGGGATAATGAGGAATTTTTAGTGTGTCTTCTGGGCAACTGTATGTCTCAGTTTCACAAATGAGTCTTCGCAGCCTTCGCCCATTTGTTTTCATGCTATTGAGTTGTTGGGAGTTCCTTATGTACTGTGACTATTCCCCCATGAACAGATGTATGGTGATCCAATCATTGCTCCCATCCTGTAGGATGCCCCTTCTGTATGTTGAGTTTTCTATGGTGTGGTGAAGCACTTTAGTTTGATATGATTCCATTCTCTATTTTTGATGGTGTTTACTGTGTTCTTGCAGTCACTTTGAGACCATCATTGCACACACGGACGCCATGGAGCTTCTTCCTTGTGATCTCTTCTGCTATTTTTATCGTTTCACATCTGACACTGGAGTTTGGTGATAAATAATCCACTTGTAAAATCCTTTGTGTGGCTATTCAGATTTCCCCAACCTAGTTTATAGAAGATACTTGATTTTGCATTGGGCGTTCTTGCTTCTTTGGGAAAAGGCTGTGAGCTGCAAATGCAGTGACTTAGTTCTGGGCTCCTGTTGTTTTTCCTAAGCTCTAGTCTCTGCTTTTCTGCCAGTGCTATTGTATTTTGGTACAAAAAGTTTTGTAGTAGTATATCATGAAGTTAGGTAGTGGGGTGGCTCCAGCTTTGTGCTTTTTACTGGATTGCTCTGGGTTTTCAGGATCTTCTGCCATTTCATAGCAAATTTGGGATTCCCAGATTGTTTTCTAAGAAGAATGTGTCATTGATATTTTTAAAGGGGTTGTATAGAATCTGAGGATGACTCAGGTAGTAGTGATGTCAATGCCGTTTAGACAATGTGCGTGTTTGTGTGCACATGCTCAGGGCCAAGAGACACTGGGTGTCCTCACCAATACTGAGGTGGGCCTTAATATCCAGCCAGATTGCCTTCTGGAAACACACGGAATGTCCTGTTCTGTTTTGCCATCTCTTCACATTTCCTCCCCTGTGAGCCCTGTGTGGTCCTCCAGATTCCCTGTGCGGTGGCCTGCCTTTTTTGGGGTGGGGAGTTGCTGGGTGAATGAGGATGGCGGAGGGAACCAAGCATGTCAGTGGAGCGTGGTGTCATCCAAACGGTACTTAGCAGGCCTGGGAGAGTCATTCTGGGAGGACGCAGACCTAGAGAGGCCTCAGGTGGGCATCTGTGTGGAGGGTGAGAGATCCCTGGTTGAGCCCAAACTGAACCCCAGGTAGAAGCAAGCCTCAGGACAGGGAAGTAGCTAGCAAGGGATGATGAGGCAGCTATCTCTTGACCCTGGCTTCCCACCCATTGACCTTAGCTACTTATGCCTATTAAGCAGATTACGGTTCCCCCATCGTGAAATGTGGGTACCACAGTTCCCTGATGGGCATTTCTCCACCAGCCCATGATGGCCTGAGTTTCCTTACTGCAGTCTCCTCCCTGAGCCTTGGCTTCTCTATGTGTGTCCTAACTCCAGGACCCACAGGCCTGTCAACCCCCAGCCCTGGGCTGCTTCCCTGGCCTCTTCTCTGTTCCCTCTCTGAGGGCCTAACTCCCTTGGGTAGTGCTGCAGAATATAGAGCCACAGGCCCTGGCTGATGATCTGGTGGACTGGGCAAATTGGTCGTGACAGGTCAGGTTCTGGTTCAAAGCCAATTCCTCCGATGCCAAGGAATGTCGAAGAAGGTCCTTTGCCATGATGTCCCATAGCTGTCCCACCTCAGCAATCGTGCCGTAACCTGGGCCCTCACAGTCAGACAACCAGCTGAAGAAGCTCAGGCAGTGACCTGCGGGAAACTCGGGCTTTCACCTGCATGACCCTAGAACCACTGGACTGCAGTGGAGCCAGTCGCCCTGTATCCTGGAGGGAGACGAGTCAGGAAGGCGCACGCCAGGCCCAGCTCCCGAGGTACTACCCCCTCTACTCCTCAGGGAGGATGCCAACGCAATACTCCTTAGTCATCACTTTGTTTCCGAAGTAAATGTTGTGATGAAAGGCAAACTTCTTCCTACCCCTTGTATTCAGGGTGGCCGAGTTCCTCCACCTGCCTGTCCAAGAAGGAGAAACAGGGCTGTGAAGGGGCAATTTCATCTAGGTGGGCTGAGGTGGCACTCTAGCCGGGGTGAAGCATGCGTTTCCCCTTCCCAGCTTTCCCGCTGAGACACACCTGAGCCCCAGAAGGACCTCAACCTGACCAGGACCTTAGCACCCTCCCCCAGACCCAGGCTTTCCATCCTGACCTGCAAATCCAACATGCAGCTTTGAAGGACTTTCTCATGGTTTCTGAGCTCCTTGCTCTCACCAGAAAGAATCAGAACTTTTAAAGTGTTCTTTATGCCAACTTAAATTTTTCATTTTTACTACCTCATGTTTTGGATGAGGCATGTATTTTTAAATTTATTTTCACCCTTATTGTACCTCTATGATAAACTGCTTGCTTACATTCATACCGTAATTATCTCTCAGGTTACTTGTCTGTTCCTAAAGATTCACTGAAACGAAGAATTCTATATATGCTTGTATCTTTCAGCAACCGTATGTCAGATAGCACTGCACATTACTGCAGACATCGCATATACAGGTCCAAAGGTAGAGGAAGAAGAAGAAAGCAAGCGTTAAACTCTATTCATTCCTAAAAGCATATCAGAAACTCACAAATAACAGTGAAATCAAAGAATGATCACAGCCAATTCCATTACATACCTAGACTGAAATACGAAACTTCAAAGAAAAGAAACATTAGAACTTTGGGTTTGTAAAAATTTTCCTATATAGATAAAATTATTGGTAACTGTGTCTCACTAGAAAACGTAAACAAAAATCCATGTTTTTCATATTTGTAAATATACATAGTTTTATTTCCATCAGTTATGACATGCAAGCAAGTAATAAAGTGAAAGTACAATCAAATGATATATGGAACTTCCTCAGTCTTAAAATATTCCATGGAGACTATCAATTTTATGAAAACTATAAAGAATGCTTCATGAAACTACATTGTACAGTGCCATTTACTATTTTACTGACATTTTAAATAATCAACAATTAAAGGGAATACGTCAACATTATTTAATACCAATAACGTTATTTTTCTTGAGTAATCCTGTTGAAATTAAGGATTTTAAATAAAACATTAAAAACAAATTATATTGACTGATTTCAGCTTTGGATGAAATCATACTTGTGTATTTGTAGTAATGCGAAGCATAACTTTCTCCTCACAATTAATCTTTTATAACATCGGTGTTATAGTTTTCTCTGACACCAACATTGTGATATCGCACAGGTTTACTGCATGCATGCATTACATGCCTCCAGAGAGTAGGCTTCAAATATATGGAAAAATTATATTTATGAAAAAATTCTAGGAAAGGGAATGGTGAAATGGAAGAGAATTTCTCACTTGCTAACTGTTGGACATGGATTTGTATATATTTGGATATAGACACATACTGGCACACTGTGAGTTTGCCCATGTATATATACACTTATATGAGAAACCCATAATATATGGGTTGTGTAATCTTTTAATTAATCCATAATTGTATGTGTGTGAAATTAGATAAGCGGTTACCTTTTCTTTACTCAATTTGATGGAAAGCCAAAAAACTCTGTCCACCTTCATTTCAATTAATCCAATACTGTTAACTGCTGGTAGCTTCATTCTCCTTGTTCTCTTACGGCAACCGGAAAGTTAATTCTCGCTCTAATTTGGCTTTCAAGGTGCGATCAACAAGAGTGTCACCTTGCTGTGGATTGTGACCTCTGACTCCACCTCTGTCTTCCTTTTGCAGTCCTACCTTTGCATAGGTAACAAACTTTGTACATGGTTAAAAGGATAAAAGTTCAGTGAAATGTCAAGCCATGCTGTGAAATGTTCCATAGTTTCTATATCTCTAATTGTCCTTTGATGTTATAGAGGCAAGAAAAATAATTCAATGTTTTTCTTAGTATCTAGTCCAATGCACTCTTTCTTCATAATACTGCAAACAAGGCACTGACATGGAAACGTGGCTGGACGTCTCAAAATCTCTTCTCATTAATTACCATTATGTTAATCACTGTTGCCCACAACTGGAATTGGACTTTGAAATCCCCTGGTGGAAATTGCTATAATGGCTCAAACTACTGGAAAGACTATCTTTTTTTTACCTGAAAATATCTGATGAGCATAGACGTATGCTATATACAGGAACATATTGTACATTAACAACATACCATCACTGCCACTCAATAATAGGTATCCCAAACCTTTGAGCCAAACTGAGCTCGGGTGCTCCCACAAACCAAGCTTTTCCCTCCACAGATTTCTTATGTCAAAAAGCCACAACTCCAGGCCAGGCTTCGTGGCTCTTGTTGTAATTTCTACATTTTGGGAGGCCGAGGTTGGTGGGTCACTTGAGGTCAGGAGTTGGAGACCAGCATGGGCAACATGGCAAAAAGCTGTCTCTACCAAAAATACAAAAATTAGCCAGACCTAGTGGCACTTTCCTGTGGTCCCAGCTACTTGGGAGGCTGAGGCAGGAGAACCACCTGAACATGGGTGGCAGAGATTGTATAGTAAGCCAAGATCAGACTACTGCACTCCAGCCTGGATGACACAGCGAGACCATGACTGAAAAAAGAAAAAAAAAAAATAAAGGCAACTCCACTCGTCCACTGGCTTAGGTAAAAAGTACTGGAGTTGGCTGGGCTCGGTGGCTCACACCTGTATTCCCAGCACTTTGGATTTTGGGAAGCTGAGTCGGGCGGGTCACCTGAGATCTGTAGTAGGAGAGCAGCCTGGCCAACATGGTGAAGCCTGGCTTCTACTAAAAATACAAAACATTAGCTGAGCGTGGTGATGCATGCTTGTAATCCCAGCTACTGCAGAGGCTGAACCTGGGAGGCGGAGGATGTGTTGAGCTGAGATCCTGCCACTGCGCTCCAGCCTGGTCTACAGAGCGAGAGTACCCTGTGAGAAACAAAGGTGAAGAGAACAAGAAAAAAAAATGAGAAAAATAAGACCCACTGCAAAAGGTTGCCACAGAAAAGATTAAACATTTCAGCAACTTCTATCTTCTGTCATGGAAGCCAAGGTTATTTGGACCAAACCTCCTGTCTTAGTTCATTTTCACGCTGCTGAAGAAGACATACCTGAAACTGGGAATAAAAGGAGGTTTAATTGGACTGACAGTTCCACATGGCTGTGGAGGCCTCAGAATCATGGTATACGAATAAAGGCACTTCTTACATGGCAATGCCAAGAGAGAATGAGGAAGAACCTGAGGCAGAAACCCCTGAAAAACCCATCAGATCCCGTGAGACTTCTTCACTGTCACAAGAATAGCATGAGAAAGACCGACCCCCATGATTCAATTACCTCCCCCTGGGTCCCACCCGCAACACGAGGGAATTCTGGGAGATACAATTGAAGCTGAGATTTGAATGGAGACACACCAAACCATGTCACTTCCCAAACAATTAAAAATTCCCAATAGAAGAAGCATTAATTATATCAAAAAGTGGTGGACCAAGAAGGAACTATTAGCCTCATATCTCAAGAAAGACTCCAGTCAAGGCCTAGGGACTACTCATGAAAAGAGTTTAATAGCCGACTCTCTCCCAGTGGATCTGGATTCCACCGGACTGTATCTTCACAGTAAGGGTGAAACAGAAGCAAACCCATTCCTATTTCCAAGCTCAAGGAACTTTGGTCAAAGTTCTCTTGGAGCTGAGCAGAACAAGGAGGCAAACAGAAAAGATTTGTGTCCCTAAGAAGTCATGGCCACAGGCTGGCTATCACACAGATTGTCAAGCCAGTTCCATATTGCATGGGTATTACAGAAAATCTCAAAACATAAATTTGTGTGTGGGTTGTCCCAGAGTAGCAGGATCTGGCAGAAGGAAATTTCCTTCTAACCCTCAAAGAATCCACATAAATCTTGTTACATTTGGGATTTTACGATTTGCTTCAGGAATGAGAATGGCCTTAATTTTCATATCTTTTTCTACACTCAGTTTATGTCTTGTTGGCGTCAAAGTTCTGCTTGCTTCACACAATGAGTTTAGGATTTTCCCTTTTTTATTCTATAGAATTCTTCATATATATTGAAATGCTCTGCCTGGGGAAAAAAATCTGAGCCTAGCGTTTTATCTCTAGGAAGAATCCTTTATTTCCTTGAACATTTATGAGACTATACAGATTATATATGTCTTCTTGTATCAATTTTACTAAGCTATATACATAGCTTATGTTTATATATTATATATATAAATGTAAGATACAAATATAAAAATTATGTATAAATATGAAAATATATATAGAAAGCGATATATATGTCTATATATATAGACAGATTATAAATATCTGTCTATTTGACCTAAGTTTTCAAATTTGTAGGTTAAGGTGTTAACGATATTTCCTTATTAGCTTCTTAATCTATGCTGTATCTATGGTTGTGTACCTTTTAAATTCTTAGTTTTATCTATGTTTTCTCCCTTTTTTTCTAAACTTGACTGACGGTTGCATCATTTATTATATTTCTCCAACAAGCAAAGGTTAGCTTTGTATGTTTTACTAATTTTGTCTACATCATTATTCCCACACTTTAGTTTTTCAGAATTGATTCTGTTGTTTCTTTTCTAATTCTTTATTGAAATATCTAGTACATTAATTTTCAAGTTATTAGAGAAATATTTGTCTGTAAACTCCTATTGTAATATCACTTTTCTTGCTACTCACAGATTTAATCTTTAATATTGGCGGTATCATTGAGTTCTAAGTACATTTCAATTCCTAGTATGATAATCTATGAATTGCTGAGAAATAGTGTTTACAATTTTGTTGTTCTATTTCCACTTAAGTTTATTTTTACTTCTGCTAACTCAATTGAAAATTCTTTACTAATTTTTAAAATCCTTGAACCCAAGAGATGGAGGTTGCAGTGAGCTGAGATCAGGCCACTGCATTCCAGACTGAGTGACAGAGTGGAACGAGATTTCAAAACAAAACAAAACAAAACAAAACAAAACAGTCACTGGAAAGATAATAAAATACATAAATGTGGGATGTAATATGTAATCGTGATAAAATAAACTGGATTTTTTGTATAAGTTATACATATAAATGTAATGCCAAGACACTGATAAGACAACTCATGGTCTTATCTCAATACTTAGTGTCTTCATGTAACATATGTCCTTTAGGATAGTTATAGTCCGTTTTCTTTCCAGGAGAGACAGATGAGAATGCAGAAATGTTAAAGTGCAAGGGACGGAAGCTTCCAGCTGTGCCCACCTGTAACCTGACGTAGACAGTTCCACCGTTTGCTTCATTAATCATGCCAAAGGCTCTAATGCAAATGTGGTACAGAGTCACATGTTTTTGTATCTACATGATAGAAACTATAACTTCATCCCTATATAGAAGGGTATATAGCATATGCCTCAGTGATAAATATAAGTGAATCATTGATCAGTAGGAAACCATTTTAAAAGTCTTTCATAACAGAACAAAATCCCTGAAAACATTTTCTTCTCAATCTCTGAGTTTTCTTACACGGCTTATGAATCTCTAGCCATACTAAAGAGATAGTATGCTGCTCTTCCCACAAATTATTCATTGTATATAATTCCTGTAATCTAATAACAGTACCTTTACACCTCAGGGTTTAAAATGACTCCAACCTTTTTCTGTTTCTCCAATTAAAATAACTTTTTTAAGGTTTAATCTTCAGTAATTTTTTGTAGTAATATTTTTGAAGGTATTTGACCAGGATGATTTGCTTATATACCTACCTGACGTCTCCCTTTCTTCTGAATACATATTTTATTACCCACCTATTAGATCTAAGTTTAAGAAGTTGGAATAGGGATTTAAATCTAAATTCTACATTTGAATTTACAGGAGTCAGCGAGTCCGGGAAGTGCCTTTATGCACAGACCAATATCTGGCAATGGCACTAGGAGACAAATAAGCTTTACCAGTCTCAAAGCCCTGGCTACTACAGTGAATCCACCCTTCTCCTGGATCTTATCTACTTCAGCAAAAGAAGGCCACCCACTAAACCAGGCCCTTGTACTTTGGGTGGAAACTCCTAAGTCCTCTAGTCTCCTCAAACAGACAGCCAGGCTGCCAATTTCCACAATAATAATTTCTATAGCACTGAGTCTTTGGTAGCCTTGTAACTATAGCTACTGATGCTACAGTCTGGTCCCTGTATGATAAAACACCAGAGCAACAGAAACAAAAATATTGACTGAAGCCTTCTAAAATCTCTCTAAATATACCTTCAATAAATATGGTTTTTTTTACAGAACGACTGCTTTCAGCTTCCTGAACTAACGCTTGGCCTTCGCTAGTTGTCACTGTTGAAATTGATTCAAAAGTGTACATTTAACATGAAAGTCAACACAGAATTTCATGTGTCAGCAACTAAAATTTTCAAAATGTTGCAAAATACAAATGTGAAACTGTATTTGTGAAATTTACCATTCATTGAAATTATATTTTCATACCTACCCAGGCACAGAATTTTTTATAACTGTCTGCATGTTCTCCTCATGTGGGGGAAAAGCAGCATCAGCAGGCAGAGGAATCCTTTGAAGCTGGAGGGAGAGGTTGCAGTGATCTGAGAGTTTGCCACTTGACTGCAGCCTGGATGACACAGTGAGACTCCAACTGAAAAGAAACAAACACACACACACACACACACACACACACACACACACCCAAAATTGATAAGAAAATAAAAAATCCATATTCGAAAACATGCTCACAGGCTATCTCCCATATCTAACACACACACACACACACACACACACACACACACACACACAATTCCTTGAAAACGAAAGTTCCACAAGGGCAAAAGAAGAAAACAAATTTAACACCCCCCAAAGAAAGTACAAAGAGTAACCTCAAAAGAACCGCAGGGGAAAACAATTCAAAATTTACAAGTATCTACCCTAAAAGAAGCTGAAAGTCCCTCAAAAACTTTCCAGAGGCCATGTCCTTGTATTACAAAAATGATCATAAAAACTGGCAGGAGTAGACGAATAGAAATGCATCTTAAAACTTGCTAAACCCTTCAAGTCTCCCATAAGAATTGTAATGGAAAATGGATCGGTCGGCAGCTTTTTCCATACAATTATGAACAAATTATATTTCTTCATACATAGATTTGTTTTTTCAATATTCTAAGGAATTAACTTTTATATTAATAGTAGGTGATGTAAGAAAGCAGGCCTTTATCAAGATAACTGACACTGGATGTCCATACCATTACTCAGGTGGGCCTTAATTCCCAGCCGGGTTCCCTCCCTGGACACACACTGAAGGTCCCCAGCCATTTGGCAATCTCTTCACATTCCCAGCCCTGGAGGTAGCCCTAAAATACATGTACCTGAAGAAAATAAAACATTGCCTCACACTGGAGCCCAGTGTGGTCCTCCAGATTCCGTGTGAGGTGGACTAACTTATATGGGAAGGCAGGGCAGCGGGAGTGAGGATGGCAGAGAGGATTACACATGTCAAGGCAGCCGGGGTCATGGAAACAAAACATGACTGGCCTGGGAGAAACACTGTGAAAGGACACAGACCTAGGTGGGCCTCAGGTGGACATCCTCGTGGAGAAAAAGGGGGCCCTGGTTGATCTCAAAATGAGCCCCAGGTGGTAGCAGGTCTTACCGCAGGGCAGGGAGCTGGCGAGTAATGATGAGACAGCTATCCCTTAAGCCCTGCTTGTCACCCACTGACTTTAGCCACATATGCATCATAGTGGCTTAAGGTGCCCCGATCCTGAAATGTGGGTGTTACATGTCCCTGATGGGCCTCTCTCCCCCAACCCACGGATTGCCTGGGATTGCTCACTGCAGTCTCCTCCCGGATCCTTGGGTTCTCCATGTGGGGCCCAGATCCAGGTCAAAAGGCCTCTCAGTTCCCAGCCCTTCCCAGCCCTAGGCTGCTCGCCTGGCCTCCTCTCTGTTCCGCCTCTAGGGCTGACCCTCTCTCCATGGGATAGAACTGCAATGGATTGAGCCATAGGCCCTGGCTGATGATCTAGGTGACTGCAGAAGTGGGTCCAGGACAGTTCAGGTGACAGTTCAAAGCCAATTCCCCAGAGACCAAGGAATGACCAGCTAGGTCCTTTCCCATGATGCCCCACGGCGAACCCCACCTCAGCAATCCTGCCAAAACCCGGGCAGTCATGTTCAGCCAAACAGCTGAATGAGCTCAGGTAGGAGGTGTACTGCCTGCAGCTGGAGGCTTGACCTTCGTGATCCCAGAACCGCTGGACTGCAGTGGAATGAGACACCCTGTAGCCTGCAGGGAGAGGAGTCAGGAAGGTTCATGCCAGTCCCACCCTCCCACACACCAGCTCCCCTACCATGCTGGGAGGCATTCCTTACCGAGGATGCCAACACAGTGCTCCTTCATGATGATTTCACTGTGGAAATAAAGGTTGGGATGAAAGGAAATCATCCTGCCACCGGTAACCGGGATGGCTGAGTTCCTCCACCTGCCGGATCAAGGAGAAAGAGGATGGATTCAATGGGACCATCTCAACTAGCCGGGCTGAGGTGGCCTACTAGCTGTAGTGAACCATGAGTTTCCCCTTCCCAGCTCTCCCACTGAGACAACCCTGGTCCCCAGGGGGACCTCAAACTGACTCAGACACTGGACTCCTCCCACAGACCCAGGCTCCCCAGCCTGACCTGCAAATCCATCACGTAGCAAAGCAGGACTTCCGCATGCTTTCCGACCCACGCCGACATCTCGTGTGCCAAACAATCTACCTCTGCGCAAGAACTCTCCAGAGGATTGGGTGGGCAAGCCTCGTGACGCCTTGCAATTTCGCAAGAACACAGACAATGTGGAACAGGGCCATCTCCCAGACATTTGGCCAGTCACCCTTCATTGTTGGCCCTCTATCTCTGTCTGGCGAGGAGGCAACGCCACAACTGTGGTGGTTTTTGGAGTGGGTGGACCCCGGCCAAGACGGCCTGGGCTGACCAGAGACGGGAGGCAGAAAAAGTGGGCAGGTGGTTGCAGCTGAGGGACGGGAGGGACCGGGGGTGGTGTGAGGCGGCTGCTTCTCTGGGTTTCTGAGATGCAGGAGGCCTTTGTGTGCTGGGTGCTGGACATGCTCCGCTGATGTCCGGGTGTGTGGTGTCCTCTTATCCTAGTCTCCCTGAGGGGTGGGCCTGTCCACCTGAGGGAAGCCTTGTAGTTAGAAGCCACAGCAGGGTCGTGCCTGGCGCTCTCCAAGGGAATTGCGTGGGTCCAGAGGAAGTTATACAGGCTCAGGGCCTACACGCCTTTGAGTGCAGCGCCTGCAGTTGGATGAATGCGCATCTGCGGAGCTGGTGCCCGCCGTCAGGTGGTCGGCAGCCCCATGCGCCGCGAACCCGTCTTAAGCACCTTGTGTTTCTGGGGTGAGCCTGCTGGAAACAGGCACCGAGAGCAGGGGTGGTTCAATGGCTGGTAATGGCATACAGATTCCCCGTCCTCCAGGGACGTTCCCAGGGAAACGCGTCCTTCGAATTTGGGCTGTGCGCAAAGGGACCTTGGCGCCGCGATTCTCCCTTGTCAGTGCTGGCCCTGGCTCCCCTTCCCTACCACGTGCTCCCAGGGCTGCTACAAGCGAGCTGCCCTCACAGCTGCGGGAACGTGGCCTCGGCTCCCACGCTGTCCCCCATCCCCTGCCTCCTGGCTGACCCCACGTGCCTCCCACCTGGCTCCTCCCCCCAAACAGCCCCCATACCCCCCGAGGCCCGATGACTATCCCCTGCTGCCCGCCATCCCAAATCGGCAGCCGCAAGGATATGGCTCTGGCTCACAAGGCGGAGATGCTCTGTGGCCTGGGGCATTCACGGAGCCCAGCTCCAAGTGAAGGACCTCCAGCGAGTCCATTGACGGCCCCGGTGTGCTCGGTCCAGGGCCAGGCTGTGCCCGCTGGCCCTCCTTCTGCCACCCCACGTCGGGCTCCACCTCAACCACCACCTCCACCTCAGCCATGATGTCTTCCACCTTCAGCACCGCCTCCTCTTCCAAGGCCGCCTCCTTGCTCTGTACCCCGGCCGTCCTCTCCAGCATTGCCTCCAGCCTGAACACGGTTTTCTCCTGGGTGCTCCCACAGACCCTGGGCCTGCGCAGCCCAGCCCAGCCCAGCCCATGCCCCGCACCCGTAGGCTCTGGGGGCCCGCTCCCCAGCAGACCCGCTCCCTGCAAGACCCACGGGCGTCGCCCTGCTGAGAACCTGGTCCCACACCTACGTGGACCCAGGTTTCCTGAGGAGCTCCGCTGGACCCGCAGATCCCGCACTGGCCAAAGGGCTCCGGTCCCCAGCAGGCTCAACTGCGCACAGGAGCTCGGGAGCCAGAGGCCCCGGCCCTGGGCTTGCAGAGCCCCACCAACAGGCACCGCAACCGCTGCTGCGGGTGCGGGAGCCTCTGGGTCGTCAAGGCAGCGCACAACAGCGTGCGCGCAGGCCGACAATGGCCAACCCTGGCGGCTGGCCTCTGGTGTGCCCAGGGCATAGGACAAGAGGCCCTTTGGAATGCTCCTTGGAGTACAGCATCCTCAGGGAGGAAGCATGGTACTCGGAGCCTCTATTTGCCTCGACCTGTGAGAGTGTGTGCCGGGGCTCTGGCCTCTACAGCAGATCAATTCCACCTCAGCACCGGCAGGCGACTTTCCTCCCACGTGCCCGCCCCGATCACTTCCCCCAGGACACCCCTGCCGCCCTTGCCCCAGCAACCAGAGAGAGTTCTCTGCATCTGCTGTATTACCTCCGTACCATCTACCTGGCCTGCCTAACGAAGAGAGATGTTTCCTGTGTTCATGACACATAGAGATGTTCATGGCTTGCCACACTGAGGATGTCAGGGCACAGGGCTGCCATGCCCACAATTCCAAAGGCCACGCAGCCCGCGTGTGCCCGGATGCCTAGCTACCCGGCACAAGCTCCAAGGGCTTCTCGGAGGAGGCTTGGGCAGGGAAGGCGGGGGGTGGGGGGGCTGGAGATGCAGGCCCGCCAGTGGCTGTGCCGCCCAGGGAGACGCCCACCGCCCTCCCATTGACTGGCCACGACGGGAGGAAGTCGGCCTGGGTGCGGCCCCCCGGCCCTTCGCGCGCAGTCCCTTAGGGGGCGCCTGGAAGCCCGGCGCATGCGCCCTGAGGGCTCGCTGACCTACCGGGTGCCAGAGAGGCTGCGGCAGGGTTTCTGTGGCGTGGGTCGGGCAGCACAGGCCTTGGTGTGTGCGAGTGCCAAGGAGGGCACCGCCTTCAGGATGGAGGCTGTACAGGAGGGGGCGGCCGGGGTGGAGAGTGAGCAGGCGGCTTTGGGGGAGGAGGCGGTGCTGCTGTTGGATGACATAATGGCGGAGGTGGAGGTGGTGGCGGAGGAGGAGGGCCTCGTGGAGCGGCGGGAGGAGGCCCAGCGGGCACAGCAGGCTGTGCCTGGCCCTGGGCCCATGACCCCAGAGTCTGCACTGGAGGAGCTGCTGGCCGTTCAGGTGGAGCTGGAGCCGGTTAATGCCCAAGCCAGGAAGGCCTTTTCTCGGCAGCGGGAAAAGATGGAGCGGAGGCGCAAGCCCCACCTAGACCGCAGAGGCGCCGTCATCCAGAGCGTCCCTGGCTTCTGGGCCAATGTTGTATCCTTCTCAGTGTTTCTTCGGCCTTTCTAGTGGAGAGGTGCTCTCGGGGAAGTGTAAGTGACCGATGGGCAGCTCGGCGTCGATGTGACTCTTTGGGGAACAAAGGGGAGTTGCCACGGACCAGTGTGGCTGTGGAAAGCCGGAGCAGGCGTGGGTACTATTGTCCTGCATGCGGCAGAGAAACCCTTGGTGATGCCGAGCAGCAGACGTTTGGGGCATCTTTTTGAAGAGCAGAAGCGAGTTCAGAGCGGAAGAGGTTTTTCAGTGAATGAAGCTATTTTTAAGGGAGTGTGATTGCTGCCCCTTGCTAGTCCGATCTGGGACTGGGCGTCTTCGGCTATAAGCAGATTCTGCCACTCCTCAGACACCAGCAAGTCTCTGCAAATCGCGCCTCCCCATGTCAGTGCAGTCAGCCTCAGAATCATACACCCTCTGTGAACACAGGAGGCCTTAGTTTACGGGGAGGGGGAGGCGAAAGGAGATCATACGTGGAAGCAGATCTGAGAAATCCCCTACCCCAGCCTCTGGGTGCTCTTAGGCCTTCTTCCCTGTTGCTCCTCGCTTTCCCTTCCATCGTGTGTAAAGTCTCTTTGACCTAAATCAGATTGCAAACCACCCCCAGATGTCAGCCCTGATCACTGACGAAGATGAAGACATGCTGAGCTACATGGTCAGCCTGGAGGTGAGGCCAGGAAGACTGGGGCTAGAGGGTTTAGCGGGGGAGGGTAAGGGAAATAATTCATTCCTGTAAGCAAGAGTGAGCACCTCACCCGAAAACCTATCTAAGCTTTCTCCACCTTGTCCTGACAGGTGGAAGAAGAGAAGCATCCTGTTCATCTCTGCAAGATCATGTTGTTCTTTCGGAGTAACCCCTACTTCCAGAATAAAGTGATTACCAAGGAATATCTGGTGAACATCACAGGTGACAGGTGGCTCCCAGGATGGGTAGTGGAAGGAAGATGGTGGGTGGATCATTGCCAACGGGATCCAGCCCCCTTCCCACAAAAACTCCTGTCTCTGTAGAATACAGGGCTTCTCATTCCACTCCAATTGAGTGGTATCCGGATTATGAAGTGGAGGCCTATCGCCGCAGACACCACAACAGCAGCCTTAACTTCTTCAACTGGTTCTCTGACCACAACTTCGCAGGATCTAACAAGATTGCTGAGGTGAGTCCTCACTGGGAAACATGAGGAATGACCCCGTGTGTTCCCAGCTGCTTGGGTCACCTTTCTGAGCCCTGATGAGGCCTTTCCCGATTGAGTCCCCTGACAGATCCTATGTAAGGACCTGTGGCGCAATCCCCTGCAATACTACAAGAGGATGAAGCCACCTGAAGAGGGAACAGAGACGTCAGGTGAGCCGTTAGTTGGCACTGGAGCTGTTTGATGCCCAGTATAAGGGGGTTGACACACCTGCCTATTCAGGGAGCCTGGGTGCTCATTTCAGAAATGTAGAAATTGAGGCTCCTTTCGTACATGTAGAAATTCCTTGAGAGGAAGACAGAGAGTGACAGAATCCAGGACGTTCATGGCATTGGGCTGAAAAGGCACGTTAGAGACTGCACTGCAAAGCGGGTGATAGCTGTGGAGTCTTAAGCCCAGTGAAGAATCGTCCATTTCCAGAATCAATGAGAAGTAAAGCTGAAAATCATTCAGTTCAGTCTGTGGCACTTGATTCCACGGCTGTCAACCCCACCGGCAGTCATCCCACCAACCCCATGAGATTGGGCTCCCTGAATGTGCGTCCTGGTCATCCTTGCCCCAAACCACAAAGGACTGTTTAGATTGATGGATTTCCTTAAGCTGTTGCCCCATCAGACTTGTGTGTGCTTTTAGGGCCCAGTGCATCTTGTTAGCTGACTCCCCTCACAGACAATACTGGGAATGGGGCAGGGATTGCGCAGAACAGTTTGTAACACGTGGTAGGAGGAAGTTTAAGGGATCACAAATGGGGAAGGGATATCCTTTTCTCAGCGGGCCCCACAATTGAAACATTTCAAAGTATGGCTCAGAGAAAATGCGTTTTAACATGAGTTTGTGTTTCTCTAGGGGACTCCCAGTTGTTGAGTTGAATATGATGGAGCATCAGATTTTACCTAATACAGCAGAACTCCTAAAAAGTTACAGCCATATGCAGGACGGCAGTACTCAGCATGGTCTTATGCACAGGAACTAAAGGAAAAAGAGATCGAGTCACAAAAATTCAGGAAGAGGGGGTAAATGTGGATTGTATGGAATGAAAAATAAACATTCTCAAGGATGTGTGACTCTGTGTCTGTGTGTGTGTGTGTGTCTTTGTGTTTGTGTGTGTGTGTGTGTGTGTGTGTATGTTTATCCACTTTATTCGGGTGTCATAATGAATTGATCAATCCACGTGCTTTATTCTCTTCATGGAAATAACCAGTCTGCGTTGGAGCTGGGCCTCTAAAGTTGTAGAGTGAATGGGTGTGGGATGTGTTGGGATTCTTCCTACAGGACAGACTGGGAGAGGTAAAAGCAAAAGACAGCTTAGTTGGAGGCTGACTTCGTCCTATGGAAGCAGAGATAGTTCAAGGAAAGGGGTTACTGGGTTTCCAGGGCCCAGTTTGCTGGGACCTCCAAAATCCTTCATTTTGGGTATCATCATACACAGTAGCTAAGCACAGGATGATGGAAATCTTAAAGTTCGCTTTCGTGTTGAATCCACATGTTCTTTTAAAGGTGAATGCATGATCCTTTTCTGGGACAATCAGCCTCTCAGGACTTCTGAAACATCAACGTGAGAAGAAATGGGCATGTAAGGTGTATGGAGGGACTGTGGGAAAGGTGACAGAGGCATGTGGGAAGGCATTCAGGATACGCTTTTGGCATAGATGACTAAGGGAAAACAGAAACTTACAGAAGTGAGGGGAAAGGGGGTGGATTAGTGGAATATAAGATTGTTGGAGAATCCATCCATGGACTCTCTTGTCACTTGATGACCCAGGATATGGACACTCTTGTTGATGTTTACATCTTTAGTTGTTTTAAGCTTTTCTCCAAGATTCTGTGTTAGGTGAGGAGCCAATAACGTATGTAGCTAACAACAGTACGAGTGCATTTTGTGCTCTTGCAAAGTCTAGTGAGGCTCTATTCTCCCTCGTGATTGGCACTGCAGATTGTATCTGGTGCCCAGGGCCCCTAAATTTTCTGTGGCCTCTTCAGCATAGTTTGCCTAAGGTTTAGAACGTAAAGCGAATATAGTTGCGGAATATGTTTTGCAAGCCTCACACAGGAGGACAAAACATACAGCTTTCATTCGCGAGTGGGAGGCTGCTTCCCAGGAACACGTGTGTCTGCACAAGACAAGGGGTTGCCTCTGTCAAGGATGGGGCAGGAGGATTTCAGTGTCGGAGGCAGAACTTTCTTTCCTGTTCCCAGATGAAACAGTTCCAACACGAGCATCCATGTTGACCACACGCTACTAGAGTGCTAACATTGCTGTCCCGTATAGACTCTGGTCAGCACAGCTTCTGTGAGAAGAGCTATGTTGTTTCAGGGAAGAGGGTTTGACAGTCAAAGTTCCTGAATCTGTTGTGGTGCCTGCAATATGCATTCTACACCTCCTGCTCGGTGTCAAAGCAGTTGAGCTTTGAAAATCTATCGCCCGGTTTTGTCCCTGCTCCTATGCAGACCTCTGAAGCTCTGGAGCGGGAGTCTTGTCCTCCTCTGACTACCGTCCCCCTGACCCACAAACACAGGAGAAACAGGTGTTCTAAGCAAATTATTCTGAAAACAGTCGGAACACTTTGGCCCCCTCAAGCTGCCCTCTATCCTACTGTGTGCATGTCAAAGACACTGTGGTCCAGTACGGTATCCCTATAGCGGCAATGGGGCAACAGATTGGTGTGTGCACTCTGGGCAACTCAGATTAGGAAACGTCTGGGGACTTGCCTATAACGAGGTCGTCTTAAAACGTGTTGCCCCAAATTTAAGGCATAGGAAAATGTTGAGGAAAGGGTCTTGCAATGATTTTTCTAGGAGGTAAATAGATAAGAAAATGACCGTAAATAGATGCCAGGGCTAGTTTTGGAGCTAGCCTTTTTTAAAGTGGTGGTAGGGGAGGAGGTTTTTCCAAGGCAGGTAGCAAACCAGGAACTGTCTACGATGGATGGGCGTGCCATGGGTTGGTGGCTCAGCCATATTGCCACCCCACGGAGTCGATGCAGCAGACTGGGCTTCTTGCTTGAATCCTACGTGCAATTCAGTCTAGTGATTTCACATGAGATCCCTTCTTCTGGTATTATCACAGATCGTGCTGAATTATACAGGCTGTGTAATGCTTCTTCCACTGAATATCCGTGCACGTGGGCCACAGATGCTAAGGGCACTGACAAATTTGCACCGTGCCTCAGTAACTCGGAAGCACATCTGTGATTTGTACCGACAGGGACTTGGTGTCTTTTCGTGTTTAAAGTAGCACGTGTGTGTTTGTGGTTGCGTATGTTTATTTCTCTGTGCGGGTTTGTATATTTTCTCTGACTCCACCTATGTCTCCGTGGTTCCGATATTTTTCCACACTCCCTGCGACAATTTGCACATGCCTATCTCTACAACCATTGTAGACTTTGTATCTGTGTCTTTGAACATCTGTCACTCTCTCTCCCTTCCTTTTTTCTTTTCCTTCCTTTACACCCCTTTCATCCTTCCCTTGCTTCCCCACCACACTCTCTCCATCTGTATCGTCTATGTTTCTATTCTCTATCTGGGTTTACTTTCTAATTCTGAATTCAAGGGCATTGAATTGAAAAGAAGCACTCTTCGTACTTTTATGTGTTTTAACTCATTTGGGGAATTTGGCGTGGTATTATTTACAGGGTTCTCTCTGCCCTTTCTCATTGTTCTCCCCAGCCGGGGCTGTTATTATGTGAAAGCTGGTTTCCTTCATCACATCGCGTAGGCTCTAATGATGTTTCGTTTATTTTGATTCTCCTCACACTACATAGTTTTAATTTACCTAATGTGACTGTTTTTTTGTTTGTTTTCCGAGAATGGGTCTTACTCTGTCTTCTAGGTTGGACAGCAGCCCCACGATCTCAGCCCACTGCAGCCCAGGCACCACACACCCATGTGATCCTGTCAACTCAGACTCTCACACACCTGGCAGTACAGGTGCATGCCACCCCTCCAAGCTATGTATTAATTAACTAAATACTTACTTTTTGAATGTGGGTCCATGTTGCCCCAGGCTCATCTGGAACTCCTGAGTGCAGGCAATCCTCCCACCTCAGCTTATCAAAGTGCTGGGATGACAGGTGTGACCCATGGCCCTGCCATGGCTTTGTGTTTTTTGCTTTTTTCTTCCTCCTCCTCACGTCTTGTTTTGAAACATGCACTGAAGGTTTCAATTCATGGACTGTAGTCTCTGTGCCTGGAATTTCTATCTTTCAACTCATCATCAGCATTCATTGGGATTTTCATATATATATATATATATATATATATATATATATATATATGTATATAAGAATACCTATGTACACACATATATATGTATATACATGTATATACGTATATATGCACATTTATATACGTATATACATGTATATACGTATATATATACATGTACACATATGTATTTATTTCTCAAGTTACGAAACGGCTTGCATTCTTTCCTGTGTCATGAAAAAGACTTTGCTAGAAAAGAAAAGCACTGCTTTATAATAAAATATTTTATTTGCATTTATTTTGTTAAGGCATTTTAAAAATTGTATGTTTGTTTAAAAAATGTCATATGAAATGATACATATTTACAACTTAAGGCGTGATGTTCAACAGGTCATATACATTATGCATTGGATACATCCAGCCAATCAACATATGTGTGACCTCACATAGTTGTCATTTTTGTTGTGAAAAAACTTGACTTGCACTGTATTCGAATATTTTTAGAGAAAGAATATGTTACCACTAGTTATAGTGAGCATGCTGAAGAAAATATTTTTAACCTATTCCTCCTTTATAACTAGAAGTATGAGTTCTTCATCCAGCATCTCGTCAGTGCACCCTCTTCACCGCAGTCATTGGAGTCACTACTTCTGTGAAGTCCGCTTTTTTGATTTCATATAAGAATGAGATCATGTGCTATTTTCATTTCTGATACCTGGCTTATGTCACTTAACAGAATGGCATGCACACATTCAGCAGATTCCCACACATTCTCACAACTGGCAGGATTTCCTGATTTCTTATTGCAGCGCATATTTCCGTTGCGCATATGCGTTTTTGCCCCATTTTTTAATCCACTTATCAATGGAGGGACACTCAGGTTGCTTCCGCATTTTGGCTACAGCAAAAATGTAATGAGTGCAGCAATAATTGCATGGGTGCGCGCACCGCTTCAACATACTGATCTGTGTACTGGCGGGCGTGCCCGGGTATTCTGATTTGCTGGATCATATAGTGGGTGGTTCTAATTGTAGATTTCTGAAGGCTGTTTATACTTAAATAAGAGCAATAAAGCTTCTTTAATGCCAGCACTAATTTACATTCTCCCCAAAAGTGAGCAGGGAATTCGTTTTCTCTGCCTCCTCACCAGAGATTAGGGTTTTCTTTTCTTTCTTTTTTTTTTTTTGTTTGTTTGTCTTTCGGATAATATGCATTCTGACTGAAGTGAGAAGAAATCTCATTGTGTTTTTGATTTGCATTTTCGTGATGGATTGGGGATAATGAGGAATTTTTAGTGTGTCTTCTGGGCAACTGTATGTCTCAGTTTCACAAATGAGTCTTCGCAGCCTTCGCCCATTTGTTTTCATGCTATTGAGTTGTTGGGAGTTCCTTATGTACTGTGACTATTCCCCCATGAACAGATGTATGGTGATCCAATCATTGCTCCCATCCTGTAGGATGCCCCTTCTGTATGTTGAGTTTTCTATGGTGTGGTGAAGCACTTTAGTTTGATATGATTCCATTCTCTATTTTTGATGGTGTTTACTGTGTTCTTGCAGTCACTTTGAGACCATCATTGCACACACGGACGCCATGGAGCTTCTTCCTTGTGATCTCTTCTGCTATTTTTATCGTTTCACATCTGACACTGGAGTTTGGTGATAAATAATCCACTTGTAAAATCCTTTGTGTGGCTATTCAGATTTCCCCAACCTAGTTTATAGAAGATACTTGATTTTGCATTGGGCGTTCTTGCTTCTTTGGGAAAAGGCTGTGAGCTGCAAATGCAGTGACTTAGTTCTGGGCTCCTGTTGTTTTTCCTAAGCTCTAGTCTCTGCTTTTCTGCCAGTGCTATTGTATTTTGGTACAAAAAGTTTTGTAGTAGTATATCATGAAGTTAGGTAGTGTGGTGGCTCCAGCTTTGTGCTTTTTACTGGATTGCTCTGGGTTTTCAGGATCTTCTGCCATTTCATAGCAAATTTGGGATTCCCAGATTGTTTTTCTAAGAAGAATGTGTCATTGATATTTTTACAGGGGTTGTATAGAATCTGAGGATGACTCAGGTAGTAGTGATGTCAATGCCGTTTAGACAATGTGCGTGTTTGTGTGCACAAGCTCAGGGCCAAGAGACACTGGGTGTCCTCACCAATACTGAGGTGGGCCTTAATATCCAGCCAGATTGCCTTCTGGAAACACACGGAATGTCCTGTTCTGTTTTGCCATCTCTTCACATTTCCTCCCCTGTGAGCCCTGTGTGGTCCTCCAGATTCCCTGTGCGGTGGCCTGCCTTTTTTGGGGTGGGGAGTTGCTGGGTGAATGAGGATGGCGGAGGGAACCAAGCATGTCAGTGGAGCGTGGTGTCATCCAAACGGTACTTAGCAGGCCTGGGAGAGTCATTCTGGGAGGACGCAGACCTAGAGAGGCCTCAGGTGGGCATCTGTGTGGAGGGTGAGAGATCCCTGGTTGAGCCCAAACTGAACCCCAGGTAGAAGCAAGCCTCAGGACAGGGAAGTAGCTAGCAAGGGATGATGAGGCAGCTATCTCTTGACCCTGGCTTCCCACCCATTGACCTTAGCTACTTATGCCTATTAAGCAGATTACGGTTCCCCCATCGTGAAATGTGGGTACCACAGTTCCCTGATGGGCATTTCTCCACCAGCCCATGATGGCCTGAGTTTCCTTACTGCAGTCTCCTCCCTGAGCCTTGGCTTCTCTATGTGTGTCCTAACTCCAGGACCCACAGGCCTGTCAACCCCCAGCCCTGGGCTGCTTCCCTGGCCTCTTCTCTGTTCCCTCTCTGAGGGCCTAACTCCCTTGGGTAGTGCTGCAGAATATAGAGCCACAGGCCCTGGCTGATGATCTGGTGGACTGGGCAAATTGGTCGTGACAGGTCAGGTTCTGGTTCAAAGCCAATTCCTCCGATGCCAAGGAATGTCGAAGAAGGTCCTTTGCCATGATGCCCCATAGCTGCCCCACCTCAGCAATCGTGCCGTAACCTGGGCCCTCACAGTCAGACAACCAGCTGAAGAAGCTCAGGCAGTGACCTGCGGGAAACTCGGGCTTTCACCTGCATGACCCTAGAACCACTGGACTGCAGTGGAGCCAGTCGCCCTGTATCCTGGAGGGAGACGAGTCAGGAAGGCGCACGCCAGGCCCAGCTCCCGAGGTACTACCCCCTCTACTCCTCAGGGAGGATGCCAACGCAATACTCCTTAGTCATCACTTTGTTTCCGAAGTAAATGTTGTGATGAAAGGCAAACTTCTTCCTACCCCTTGTATTCAGGGTGGCCGAGTTCCTCCACCTGCCTGTCCAAGAAGGAGAAACAGGGCTGTGAAGGGGCAATTTCATCTAGGTGGGCTGAGGTGGCATTCTAGCCGGGGTGAAGCATGCGTTTCCCCTTCCCAGCTTTCCCGCTGAGACACACCTGAGCCCCAGAAGGACCTCAACCTGACCAGGACCTTAGCACCCTCCCCCAGACCCAGGCTTTCCATCCTGACCTGCAAATCCAACATGCAGCTTTGAAGGACTTTCTCATGGTTTCTGAGCTCCTTGCTCTCACCAGAAAGAATCAGAACTTTTAAAGTGTTCTTTATGCCAACTTAAATTTTTCATTTTTACTACCTCATGTTTTGGATGAGGCATGTATTTTTAAATTTATTTTCACCCTTATTGTACCTCTATGATAAACTGCTTGCTTACATTCATACCGTAATTATCTCTCAGGTTACTTGTCTGTTCCTAAAGATTCACTGAAACGAAGAATTCTATATATGCTTGTATCTTTCAGCAACCGTATGTCAGATAGCACTGCACATTACTGCAGACATCGCATATACAGGTCCAAAGGTAGAGGAAGAAGAAGAAAGCAAGCGTTAAACTCTATTCATTCCTAAAAGCATATCAGAAACTCACAAATAACAGTGAAATCAAAGAATGATCACAGCCAATTCCATTACATACCTAGACTGAAATACGAAACTTCAAAGAAAAGAAACATTAGAACTTTGGGTTTGTAAAAATTTTCCTATATAGATAAAATTATTGGTAACTGTGTCTCACTAGAAAACGTAAACAAAAATCCATGTTTTTCATATTTGTAAATATACATAGTTTTATTTCCATCAGTTATGACATGCAAGCAAGTAATAAAGTGAAAGTACAATCAAATGATATATGGAACTTCCTCAGTCTTAAAATATTCCATGGAGACTATCAATTTTATGAAAACTATAAAGAATGCTTCATGAAACTACATTGTACAGTGCCATTTACTATTTTACTGACATTTTAAATAATCAACAATTAAAGGGAATACGTCAACATTATTTAATACCAATAACGTTATTTTTCTTGAGTAATCCTGTTGAAATTAAGGATTTTAAATAAAACATTAAAAACAAATTATATTGACTGATTTCAGCTTTGGATGAAATCATACTTGTGTATTTGTAGTAATGCGAAGCATAACTTTCTCCTCACAATTAATCTTTTATAACATCGGTGTTATAGTTTTCTCTGACACCAACATTGTGATATCGCACAGGTTTACTGCATGCATGCATTACATGCCTCCAGAGAGTAGGCTTCAAATATATGGAAAAATTATATTTATGAAAAAATTCTAGGAAAGGGAATGGTGAAATGGAAGAGAATTTCTCACTTGCTAACTGTTGGACATGGATTTGTATATATTTGGATATAGACACATACTGGCACACTGTGAGTTTGCCCATGTATATATACACTTATATGAGAAACCCATAATATATGGGTTGTGTAATCTTTTAATTAATCCATAATTGTATGTGTGTGAAATTAGATAAGCGGTTACCTTTTCTTTACTCAATTTGATGGAAAGCCAAAAAACTCTGTCCACCTTCATTTCAATTAATCCAATACTGTTAACTGCTGGTAGCTTCATTCTCCTTGTTCTCTTACGGCAACCGGAAAGTTAATTCTCGCTCTAATTTGGCTTTCAAGGTGCGATCAACAAGAGTGTCACCTTGCTGTGGATTGTGACCTCTGACTCCACCTCTGTCTTCCTTTTGCAGTCCTACCTTTGCATAGGTAACAAACTTTGTACATGGTTAAAAGGATAAAAGTTCAGTGAAATGTCAAGCCATGCTGTGAAATGTTCCATAGTTTCTATATCTCTAATTGTCCTTTGATGTTATAGAGGCAAGAAAAATAATTCAATGTTTTTCTTAGTATCTAGTCCAATGCACTCTTTCTTCATAATACTGCAAACAAGGCACTGACATGGAAACGTGGCTGGACGTCTCAAAATCTCTTCTCATTAATTACCATTATGTTAATCACTGTTGCCCACAACTGGAATTGGACTTTGAAATCCCCTGGTGGAAATTGCTATAATGGCTCAAACTACTGGAAAGACTATCTTTTTTTTACCTGAAAATATCTGATGAGCATAGACGTATGCTATATACAGGAACATATTGTACATTAACAACATACCATCACTGCCACTCAATAATAGGTATCCCAAACCTTTGAGCCAAACTGAGCTCGGGTGCTCCCACAAACCAAGCTTTTCCCTCCACAGATTTCTTATGTCAAAAAGCCACAACTCCAGGCCAGGCTTCGTGGCTCTTGTTGTAATTTCTACATTTTGGGAGGCCGAGGTTGGTGGGTCACTTGAGGTCAGGAGTTGGAGACCAGCATGGGCAACATGGCAAAAAGCTGTCTCTACCAAAAATACAAAAATTAGCCAGACCTAGTGGCACTTTCCTGTGGTCCCAGCTACTTGGGAGGCTGAGGCAGGAGAACCACCTGAACATGGGTGGCAGAGATTGTATAGTAAGCCAAGATCAGACTACTGCACTCCAGCCTGGATGACACAGCGAGACCATGACTGAAAAAAGAAAAAAAAAAAATAAAGGCAACTCCACTCGTCCACTGGCTTAGGTAAAAAGTACTGGAGTTGGCTGGGCTCGGTGGCTCACACCTGTATTCCCAGCACTTTGGATTTTGGGAAGCTGAGTCGGGCGGGTCACCTGAGATCTGTAGTAGGAGAGCAGCCTGGCCAACATGGTGAAGCCTGGCTTCTACTAAAAATACAAAACATTAGCTGAGCGTGGTGATGCATGCTTGTAATCCCAGCTACTGCAGAGGCTGAACCTGGGAGGCGGAGGATGTGTTGAGCTGAGATCCTGCCACTGCGCTCCAGCCTGGTCTACAGAGCGAGAGTACCCTGTGAGAAACAAAGGTGAAGAGAACAAGAAAAAAAAAATGAGAAAAATAAGACCCACTGCAAAAGGTTGCCACAGAAAAGATTAAACATTTCAGCAACTTCTATCTTCTGTCATGGAAGCCAAGGTTATTTGGACCAAACCTCCTGTCTTAGTTCATTTTCACGCTGCTGAAGAAGACATACCTGAAACTGGGAATAAAAGGAGGTTTAATTGGACTGACAGTTCCACATGGCTGTGGAGGCCTCAGAATCATGGTATACGAATAAAGGCACTTCTTACATGGCAATGCCAAGAGAGAATGAGGAAGAACCTGAGGCAGAAACCCCTGAAAAACCCATCAGATCCCGTGAGACTTCTTCACTGTCACAAGAATAGCATGAGAAAGACCGACCCCCATGATTCAATTACCTCCCCCTGGGTCCCACCCGCAACACGAGGGAATTCTGGGAGATACAATTGAAGCTGAGATTTGAATGGAGACACACCAAACCATGTCACTTCCCAAACAATTAAAAATTCCCAATAGAAGAAGCATTAATTATATCAAAAAGTGGTGGACCAAGAAGGAACTATTAGCCTCATATCTCAAGAAAGACTCCAGTCAAGGCCTAGGGACTACTCATGAAAAGAGTTTAATAGCCGACTCTCTCCCAGTGGATCTGGATTCCACCGGACTGTATCTTCACAGTAAGGGTGAAACAGAAGCAAACCCATTCCTATTTCCAAGCTCAAGGAACTTTGGTCAAAGTTCTCTTGGAGCTGAGCAGAACAAGGAGGCAAACAGAAAAGATTTGTGTCCCTGAGAAGTCATGGCCACAGGCTGGCTATCACACAGATTGTCAAGCCAGTTCCATATTGCATGGGTATTACAGAAAATCTCAAAACATAAATTTGTGTGTGGGTTGTCCCAGAGTAGCAGGATCTGGCAGAAGGAAATTTCCTTCTAACCCTCAAAGAATCCACATAAATCTTGTTACATTTGGGATTTTACGATTTGCTTCAGGAATGAGAATGGCCTTAATTTTCATATCTTTTTCTACACTCAGTTTATGTCTTGTTGGCGTCAAAGTTCTGCTTGCTTCACACAATGAGTTTAGGATTTTCCCTTTTTTATTCTATAGAATTCTTCATATATATTGAAATGCTCTGCCTGGGGAAAAAAATCTGAGCCTAGCGTTTTATCTCTAGGAAGAATCCTTTATTTCCTTGAACATTTATGAGACTATACAGATTATATATGTCTTCTTGTATCAATTTTACTAAGCTATATACATAGCTTATGTTTATATATTATATATATAAATGTAAGATACAAATATAAAAATTATGTATAAATATGAAAATATATATAGAAAGCGATATATATGTCTATATATATAGACAGATTATAAATATCTGTCTATTTGATCTAAGTTTTCAAATTTGTAGGTTAAGGTGTTAACGATATTTCCTTATTAGCTTCTTAATCTATGCTGTATCTATGGTTGTGTACCTTTTAAATTCTTAGTTTTATCTATGTTTTCTCCCTTTTTTTCTAAACTTGACTGACGGTTGCATCATTTATTATATTTCTCCAACAAGCAGAGGTTAGCTTTGTATGTTTTACTAATTTTGTCTACATCATTATTCCCACACTTTAGTTTTTCAGAATTGATTCTGTTGTTTCTTTTCTAATTCTTTATTGAAATATCTAGTACATTAATTTTCAAGTTATTAGAGAAATATTTGTCTGTAAACTCCTATTGTAATATCACTTTTCTTGCTACTCACAGATTTAATCTTTAATATTGGCGGTATCATTGAGTTCTAAGTACATTTCAATTCCTAGTATGATAATCTATGAATTGCTGAGAAATAGTGTTTACAATTTTGTTGTTCTATTTCCACTTAAGTTTATTTTTACTTCTGCTAACTCAATTGAAAATTCTTTACTAATTTTTAAAATCCTTGAACCCAAGAGATGGAGGTTGCAGTGAGCTGAGATCAGGCCACTGCATTCCAGACTGAGTGACAGAGTGGAACGAGATTTCAAAACAAAACAAAACAAAACAAAACAAAACAGTCACTGGAAAGATAATAAAATACATAAATGTGGGATGTAATATGTAATCGTGATAAAATAAACTGGATTTTTTGTATAAGTTATACATATAAATGTAATGCCAAGACACTGATAAGACAACTCATGGTCTTATCTCAATACTTAGTGTCTTCATGTAACATATGTCCTTTAGGATAGTTATAGTCCGTTTTCTTTCCAGGAGAGACAGATGAGAATGCAGAAATGTTAAAGTGCAAGGGACGGAAGCTTCCAGCTGTGCCCACCTGTAACCTGACGTAGACAGTTCCACCGTTTGCTTCATTAATCATGCCAAAGGCTCTAATGCAAATGTGGTACAGAGTCACATGTTTTTGTATCTACATGATAGAAACTATAACTTCATCCCTATATAGAAGGGTATATAGCATATGCCTCAGTGATAAATATAAGTGAATCATTGATCAGTAGGAAACCATTTTAAAAGTCTTTCATAACAGAACAAAATCCCTGAAAACATTTTCTTCTCAATCTCTGAGTTTTCTTACACGGCTTATGAATCTCTAGCCATACTAAAGAGATAGTATGCTGCTCTTCCCACAAATTATTCATTGTATATAATTCCTGTAATCTAATAACAGTACCTTTACACCTCAGGGTTTAAAATGACTCCAACCTTTTTCTGTTTCTCCAATTAAAATAACTTTTTTAAGGTTTAATCTTCAGTAATTTTTTGTAGTAATATTTTTGAAGGTATTTGACCAGGATGATTTGCTTATATACCTACCTGACGTCTCCCTTTCTTCTGAATACATATTTTATTACCCACCTATTAGATCTAAGTTTAAGAAGTTGGAATAGGGATTTAAATCTAAATTCTACATTTGAATTTACAGGAGTCAGCGAGTCCGGGAAGTGCCTTTATGCACAGACCAATATCTGGCAATGGCACTAGGAGACAAATAAGCTTTACCAGTCTCAAAGCCCTGGCTACTACAGTGAATCCACCCTTCTCCTGGATCTTATCTACTTCAGCAAAAGAAGGCCACCCACTAAACCAGGCCCTTGTACTTTGGGTGGAAACTCCTAAGTCCTCTAGTCTCCTCAAACAGACAGCCAGGCTGCCAATTTCCACAATAATAATTTCTATAGCACTGAGTCTTTGGTAGCCTTGTAACTATAGCTACTGATGCTACAGTCTGGTCCCTGTATGATAAAACACCAGAGCAACAGAAACAAAAATATTGACTGAAGCCTTCTAAAATCTCTCTAAATATACCTTCAATAAATATGGTTTTTTTTACAGAACGACTGCTTTCAGCTTCCTGAACTAACGCTTGGCCTTCGCTAGTTGTCACTGTTGAAATTGATTCAAAAGTGTACATTTAACATGAAAGTCAACACAGAATTTCATGTGTCAGCAACTAAAATTTTCAAAATGTTGCAAAATACAAATGTGAAACTGTATTTGTGAAATTTACCATTCATTGAAATTATATTTTCATACCTACCCAGGCACAGAATTTTTTATAACTGTCTGCATGTTCTCCTCATGTGGGGGAAAAGCAGCATCAGCAGGCAGAGGAATCCTTTGAAGCTGGAGGGAGAGGTTGCAGTGATCTGAGAGTTTGCCACTTGACTGCAGCCTGGATGACACAGTGAGACTCCAACTGAAAAGAAACAAACACACACACACACACACACACACACACACACCCCCAAAATTGATAAGTAAAAAAAAAATCCATATTCGAAAACATGCTCACAGGCTAACTCCCATATCTAACACACACACACACACACACACACACACACACACACACACAATTCCTTGAAAACGAAAGTTCCACAAGGGCAAAACAAGAAAACAAATTTAACACCCCCCAAAGAAAGTACAAAGAGTAACCTCAAAAGAACTGCAGGGGAAAACAATTCAAAATTTACAAGTATCTACCCTAAAAGAAGCTGAAAGTCCCTCAAAAACTTTCCAGAGGCCATGTCCTTGTATTACAAAAATGATCATAAAAACTGGCAGGAGTAGACGAATAGAAATGCATCTTAAAACTTGCTAAACCCTTCAAGTCTCCCATAAGAATTGTAATGGAAAATGGATCGGTCGGCAGCTTTTTCCATACAATTATGAACAAATTATATTTCTTCATACATAGATTTGTTTTTTCAATATTCTAAGGAATTAACTTTTATATTAATAGTAGGTGATGTAAGAAAGCAGGCCTTTATCAAGATAACTGACACTGGATGTCCATACCATTACTCAGGTGGGCCTTAATTCCCAGCCGGGTTCCCTCCCTGGACACACACTGAAGGTCCCCAGCCATTTGGCAATCTCTTCACATTCCCAGCCCTGGAGGTAGCCCTAAAATACATGTACCTGAAGAAAATAAAACATTGCCTCACACTGGAGCCCAGTGTGGTCCTCCAGATTCCGTGTGAGGTGGACTAACTTATATGGGAAGGCAGGGCAGCGGGAGTGAGGATGGCAGAGAGGATTACACATGTCAAGGCAGCCGGGGTCATGGAAACAAAACATGACTGGCCTGGGAGAAACACTATGAAAGGACATACACCTAGGTGGGCCTTAGGTGGACATCCTCGTGGAGAAAAAGGGGGCCCTGGTTGATCTCAAAATGAGCCCCAGGTGGTAGCAGGTCTTACCGCAGGGCAGGGAGCTGGCGAGTAATGATGAGACAGCTATCCCTTAAGCCCTGCTTGTCACCCACTGACTTTAGCCACATATGCATCATAGTGGCTTAAGGTGCCCCGATCCTGAAATGTGGGTGTTACATGTCCCTGATGGGCCTCTCTCCCCCAACCCACGGATTGCCTGGGATTGCTCACTGCAGTCTCCTCCCGGATCCTTGGGTTCTCCATGTGGGGCCCAGATCCAGGTCAAAAGGCCTCTCAGTTCCCAGCCCTTCCCAGCCCTAGGCTGCTCGCCTGGCCTCCTCTCTGTTCCGCCTCTAGGGCTGACCCTCTCTCCATGGGATAGAACTGCAATGGATTGAGCCATAGGCCCTGGCTGATGATCTAGGTGACTGCAGAAGTGGGTCCAGGACAGTTCAGGTGACAGTTCAAAGCCAATTCCCCAGAGACCAAGGAATGACCAGCTAGGTCCTTTCCCATGATGCCCCACGGCGAACCCCACCTCAGCAATCCTGCCAAAACCCGGGCAGTCATGTTCAGCCAAACAGCTGAATGAGCTCAGGTAGGAGGTGTACTGCCTGCAGCTGGAGGCTTGACCTTCGTGATCCCAGAACCGCTGGACTGCAGTGGAATGAGACACCCTGTAGCCTGCAGGGAGAGGAGTCAGGAAGGTTCATGCCAGTCCCACCCTCCCACACACCAGCTCCCCTACCATGCTGGGAGGCATTCCTTACCGAGGATGCCAACACAGTGCTCCTTCATGATGATTTCACTGTGGAAATAAAGGTTGGGATGAAAGGAAATCATCCTGCCACCGGTAACCGGGATGGCTGAGTTCCTCCACCTGCCGGATCAAGGAGAAAGAGGATGGATTCAATGGGACCATCTCAACTAGCCGGGCTGAGGTGGCCTACTAGCTGTAGTGAACCATGAGTTTCCCCTTCCCAGCTCTCCCACTGAGACAACCCTGGTCCCCAGGGGGACCTCAAACTGACTCAGACACTGGACTCCTCCCACAGACCCAGGCTCCCCAGCCTGACCTGCAAATCCATCACGTAGCAAAGCAGGACTTCCGCATGCTTTCCGACCCACGCCGACATCTCGTGTGCCAAACAATCTACCTCTGCGCAAGAACTCTCCAGAGGATTGGGTGGGCAAGCCTCGTGACGCCTTGCAATTTCGCAAGAACACAGACAATGTGGAACAGGGCCATCTCCCAGACATTTGGCCAGTCACCCTTCATTGTTGGCCCTCTATCTCTGTCTGGCGAGGAGGCAACGCCACAACTGTGGTGGTTTTTGGAGTGGGTGGACCCCGGCCAAGACGGCCTGGGCTGACCAGAGACGGGAGGCAGAAAAAGTGGGCAGGTGGTTGCAGCTGAGGGACGGGAGGGGCCGGGGGTGGTGTGAGGCGGCTGCTTCTCTGAGTTTCTGAGATGCAGGAGGCCTTTGTGTGCTGGGTGCTGGACATGCTCCGCTGATGTCCGGGTGTGTGGTGTCCTCTTATCCTAGTCTCCCTGAGGGGTGGGCCTGTCCACCTGAGGGAAGCCTTGTAGTTAGAAGCCACAGCAGGGTCGTGCCTGGCGCTCTCCAAGGGAATTGCGTGGGTCCAGAGGAAGTTATACAGGCTCAGGGCCTACACGCCTTTGAGTGCAGCGCCTGCAGTTGGATGAATGCGCATCTGCGGAGCTGGTGCCCGCCGTCAGGTGGTCGGCAGCCCCATGCGCCGCGAACCCGTCTTAAGCACCTTGTGTTTCTGGGGTGAGCCTGCTGGAAACAGGCACCGAGAGCAGGGGTGGTTCAATGGCTGGTAATGGCATACAGATTCCCCGTCCTCCAGGGACGTTCCCAGGGAAACGCGTCCTTCGAATTTGGGCTGTGCGCAAAGGGACCTTGGCGCCGCGATTCTCCCTTGTCAGTGCTGGCCCTGGCTCCCCTTCCCTACCACGTGCTCCCAGGGCTGCTACAAGCGAGCTGCCCTCACAGCTGCGGGAACGTGGCCTCGGCTCCCACGCTGTCCCCCATCCCCTGCCTCCTGGCTGACCCCACGTGCCTCCCACCTGGCTCCTCCCCCCAAACAGCCCCCATACCCCCCGAGGCCCGATGACTATCCCCTGCTGCCCGCCATCCCAAATCGGCAGCCGCAAGGATATGGCTCTGGCTCACAAGGCGGAGATGCTCTGTGGCCTAGGGCATTCACGGAGCCCAGCTCCAAGTGAAGGACCTCCAGCGAGTCCATTGACGGCCCCGGTGTGCTCGGTCCAGGGCCAGGCTGTGCCCGCTGGCCCTCCTTCTGCCACCCCACGTCGGGCTCCACCTCAACCACCACCTCCACCTCAGCCATGATGTCTTCCACCTTCAGCACCGCCTCCTCTTCCAAGGCCGCCTCCTTGCTCTGTACCCCGGCCGTCCTCTCCAGCATTGCCTCCAGCCTGAACACGGTTTTCTCCTGGGTGCTCCCACAGACCCTGGGCCTGCGCAGCCCAGCCCAGCCCAGCCCATGCCCCGCACCCGTAGGCTCTGGGGGCCCGCTCCCCAGCAGACCCGCTCCCTGCAAGACCCACGGGCGTCGCCCTGCTGTGAACCTGGTCCCACACCTACGTGGACCCAGGTTTCCTGAGGAGCTCCGCTGGACCCGCAGATCCCGCACTGGCCAAAGGGCTCCGGTCCCCAGCAGGCTCAACTGCGCACAGGAGCTCGGGAGCCAGAGGCCCCGGCCCTGGGCTTGCAGAGCCCCACCAACAGGCACCGCAACCGCTGCTGCGGGTGCGGGAGCCTCTGGGTCGTCAAGGCAGCGCACAACAGCGTGCGCGCAGGCCGACAATGGCCAACCCTGGCGGCTGGCCTCTGGTGTGCCCAGGGCATAGGACAAGAGGCCCTTTGGAATGCTCCTTGGAGTACAGCATCCTCAGGGAGGAAGCATGGTACTCGGAGCCTCTATTTGCCTCGACCTGTGAGAGTGTGTGCCGGGGCTCTGGCCTCTACAGCAGATCAATTCCACCTCAGCACCGGCAGGCGACTTTCCTCCCACGTGCCCGCCCCGATCACTTCCCCCAGGACACCCCTGCCGCCCTAGCCCCAGCAACCAGAGAGAGTTCTCTGCATCTGCTGTATTACCTCCGTACCATCTACCTGGCCTGCCTAACGAAGAGAGATGTTTCCTGTGTTCATGACACATAGAGATGTTCATGGCTTGCCACACTGAGGATGTCAGGGCACAGGGCTGCCATGCCCACAATTCCAAAGGCCACGCAGCCCGCGTGTGCCCGGATGCCTAGCTACCCGGCACAAGCTCCAAGGGCTTCTCGGAGGAGGCTTGGGCAGGGAAGGCGGGGGGTGGGGGGGCTGGAGATGCAGGCCCGCCAGTGGCTGTGCCGCCCAGGGAGACGCCCACCGCCCTCCCATTGATTGGCCACGACGGGAGGAAGTCGGCCTGGGTGCGGCCCCCCGGCCCTTCGCGCGCAGTCCCTTAGGGGGCGCCTGGAAGCCCGGCGCATGCGCCCTGAGGGCTCGCTGACCTACCGGGTGCCAGAGAGGCTGCGGCAGGGTTTCTGTGGCGTGGGTCGGGCAGCACAGGCCTTGGTGTGTGCGAGTGCCAAGGAGGGCACCGCCTTCAGGATGGAGGCTGTGCAGGAGGGGGCGGCCGGGGTGGAGAGTGAGCAGGCGGCTTTGGGGGAGGAGGCGGTGCTGCTGTTGGATGACATAATGGCGGAGGTGGAGGTGGTGGCGGAGGAGGAGGGCCTCGTGGAGCGGCGGGAGGAGGCCCAGCGGGCACAGCAGGCTGTGCCTGGCCCTGGGCCCATGACCCCAGAGTCTGCACCGGAGGAGCTGCTGGCCGTTCAGGTGGAGCTGGAGCCGGTTAATGCCCAAGCCAGGAAGGCCTTTTCTCGGCAGCGGGAAAAGATGGAGCGGAGGCGCAAGCCCCACCTAGACCGCAGAGGCGCCGTCATCCAGAGCGTCCCTGGCTTCTGGGCCAATGTTGTATCCTTCTCAGTGTTTCTTCGGCCTTTCTAGTGGAGAGGTGCTCTCGGGGAAGTGTAAGTGACCGATGGGCAGCTCGGCGTCGATGTGACTCTTTGGGGAACAAAGGGGAGTTGCCACGGACCAGTGTGGCTGTGGAAAGCCGGAGCAGGCGTGGGTACTATTGTCCTGCATGCGGCAGAGAAACCCTTGGTGATGCCGAGCAGCAGACGTTTGGGGCATCTTTTTGAAGAGCAGAAGCGAGTTCAGAGCGGAAGAGGTTTTTCAGTGAATGAAGCTATTTTTAAGGGAGTGTGATTGCTGCCCCTTGCTAGTCCGATCTGGGACTGGGCGTCTTCGGCTATAAGCAGATTCTGCCACTCCTCAGACACCAGCAAGTCTCTGCAAATCGCGCCTCCCCATGTCAGTGCAGTCAGCCTCAGAATCATACACCCTCTGTGAACACAGGAGGCCTTAGTTTAAGGGGAGGGGGAGGCGAAAGGAGATCATACATGGAAGCAGATCTGAGAAATCCCCTACCCCAGCCTCTGGGTGCTCTTAGGCCTTCTTCCCTGTTGCTCCTCGCTTTCCCTTCCATCGTGTGTAAAGTCTCTTTGACCTAAATCAGATTGCAAACCACCCCCAGATGTCAGCCCTGATCACTGACGAAGATGAAGACATGCTGAGCTACATGGTCAGCCTGGAGGTGAGGCCAGGAAGACTGGGGCTAGAGGGTTTAGCGGGGGAGGGTAAGGGAAATAATTCATTCCTGTAAGCAAGAGTGAGCACCTCACCCGAAAACCTATCTAAGCTTTCTCCACCTTGTCCTGACAGGTGGAAGAAGAGAAGCATCCTGTTCATCTCTGCAAGATCATGTTGTTCTTTCGGAGTAACCCCTACTTCCAGAATAAAGTGATTACCAAGGAATATCTGGTGAACATCACAGGTGACAGGTGGCTCCCAGGATGGGTAGTGGAAGGAAGATGGTGGGTGGATCATTGCCAACGGGATCCAGCCCCCTTCCCACAAAAACTCCTGTCTCTGTAGAATACAGGGCTTCTCATTCCACTCCAATTGAGTGGTATCCGGATTATGAAGTGGAGGCCTATCGCCGCAGACACCACAACAGCAGCCTTAACTTCTTCAACTGGTTCTCTGACCACAACTTCGCAGGATCTAACAAGATTGCTGAGGTGAGTCCTCACTGGGAAACATGAGGAATGACCCCATGTGTTCCCAGCTGCTTGGGTCACCTTTCTGAGCCCTGATGAGGCCTTTCCCGATTGAGTCCCCTGACAGATCCTATGTAAGGACCTGTGGCGCAATCCCCTGCAATACTACAAGAGGATGAAGCCACCTGAAGAGGGAACAGAGACGTCAGGTGAGCCGTTAGTTGGCACTGGAGCTGTTTGATGCCCAGTATAAGGGGGTTGACACACCTGCCTATTCAGGGAGCCTGGGTGCTCATTTCAGAAATGTAGAAATTGAGGCTCCTTTCGTACATGTAGAAATTCCTTGAGAGGAAGACAGAGAGTGACAGAATCCAGGACGTTCATGGCATTGGGCTGAAAAGGCACGTTAGAGACTGCACTGCAAAGCGGGTGATAGCTGTGGAGTCTTAAGCCCAGTGAAGAATCGTCCATTTCCAGAATCAATGAGAAGTAAAGCTGAAAATCATTCAGTTCAGTCTGTGGCACTTGATTCCACGGCTGTCAACCCCACCGGCAGTCATCCCACCAACCCCATGAGATTGGGCTCCCTGAATGTGCGTCCTGGTCATCCTTGCCCCAAACCACAAAGGACTGTTTAGATTGATGGATTTCCTTAAGCTGTTGCCCCATCAGACTTGTGTGTGCTTTTAGGGCCCAGTGCATCTTGTTAGCTGACTCCCCTCACAGACAATACTGGGAATGGGGCAGGGATTGCGCAGAACAGTTTGTAACACGTGGTAGGAGGAAGTTTAAGGGATCACAAATGGGGAAGGGATATCCTTTTCTCAGCGGGCCCCACAATTGAAACATTTCAAAGTATGGCTCAGAGAAAATGCGTTTTAACATGAGTTTGTGTTTCTCTAGGGGACTCCCAGTTGTTGAGTTGAATATGATGGAGCATCAGATTTTACCTAATACAGCAGAACTCCTAAAAAGTTACAGCCATATGCAGGACGGCAGTACTCAGCATGGTCTTATGCACAGGAACTAAAGGAAAAAGAGATCGAGTCACAAAAATTCAGGAAGAGGGGGTAAATGTGGATTGTATGGAATGAAAAATAAACATTCTCAAGGATGTGTGACTCTGTGTCTGTGTGTGTGTGTGTGTCTTTGTGTTTGTGTGTGTGTGTGTCTGTGTGTGTATGTTTATCCACTTTATTCGGGTGTCATAATGAATTGATCAATCCACGTGCTTTATTCTCTTCATGGAAATAACCAGTCTGCGTTGGAGCTGGGCCTCTAAAGTTGTAGAGTGAATGGGTGTGGGATGTGTTGGGATTCTTCCTACAGGACAGAGTGGGAGAGGTAAAAGCAAAAGACAGCTTAGTTGGAGGCTGACTTCGTCCTATGGAAGCAGAGATAGTTCAAGGAAAGGGGTTACTGGGTTTCCAGGGCCCAGTTTGCTGGGACCTCCAAAATCCTTCATTTTGGGTATCATCATACACAGTAGCTAAGCACAGGATGATGGAAATCTTAAAGTTCGCTTTCGTGTTGAATCCACATGTTCTTTTAAAGGTGAATGCATGATCCTTTTCTGGGACAATCAGCCTCTCAGGACTTCTGAAACATCAACGTGAGAAGAAATGGGCATGTAAGGTGTATGGAGGGACTGTGGGAAAGGTGACAGAGGCATGTGGGAAGGCATTCAGGATACGCTTTTGGCAGAGATGACTAAGGGAAAACAGAAACTTACAGAAGTGAGGGGAAAGGGGGTGGATTAGTGGAATATAAGATTGTTGGAGAATCCATCCATGGACTCTCTTGTCACTTGATGACCCAGGATATGGACACTCTTGTTGATGTTTACATCTTTAGTTGTTTTAAGCTTTTCTCCAAGATTCTGTGTTAGGTGAGGAGCCAATAACGTATGTAGCTAACAACAGTACGAGTGCATTTTGTGCTCTTGCAAAGTCTAGTGAGGCTCTATTCTCCCTCGTGATTGGCACTGCAGATTGTATCTGGACCCAGGGCCCCTAAATTTTCTGTGGCCTCTTCAGCATAGTTTGCCTAAGGTTTAGAACGTAAAGCGAATATAGTTGCGGAATATGTTTTGCAAGCCTCACACAGGAGGACAAAACATACAGCTTTCATTCGCGAGTGGGAGGCTGCTTCCCAGGAACACGTGTGTCTGCACAAGACAAGGGGTTGCCTCTGTCAAGGATGGGGCAGGAGGATTTCAGTGTCGGAGGCAGAACTTTCTTTCCTGTTCCCAGATGAAACAGTTCCAACACGAGCATCCATGTTGACCACACGCTACTAGAGTGCTAACATTGCTGTCCCGTATAGACTCTGGTCAGCACAGCTTCTGTGAGAAGAGCTATGTTGTTTCAGGGAAGAGGGTTTGACAGTCAAAGTTCCTGAATCTGTTGTGGTGCCTGCAATATGCATTCTACCCCTCCTGCTCGGTGTCAAAGCAGTTGAGCTTTGAAAATCTATCGCCCGGTTTTGTCCCTGCTCCTATGCAGACCTCTGAAGCTCTGGAGCGGGAGTCTTGTCCTCCTCTGACTACCGTCCCCCTGACCCACAAACACAGGAGAAACAGGTGTTCTAAGCAAATTATTCTGAAAACAGTCGGAACACTTTGGCCCCCTCAAGCTGCCCTCTATCCTACTGTGTGCATGTCAAAGACACTGTGGTCCAGTACGGTATCCCTATAGCGGCAATGGGGCAACAGATTGGTGTGTGCACTCTGGGCAACTCAGATTAGGAAACATCTGGGGAGTTGCCTATAACGAGGTCGTCTTAAAACGTGTTGCCCCAAATTTAAGGCATAGGAAAATGTTGAGGAAAGGGTCTTGCAATGATTTTTCTAGGAGGTAAATAGATAAGAAAATGACCGTAAATAGATGCCAGGGCTAGTTTTGGAGCTAGCCTTTTTTAAAGTGGTGGTAGGGGAGGAGGTTTTTCCAAGGCAGGTAGCAAACCAGGAACTGTCTACGATGGATGGGCGTGCCATGGGTTGGTGGCTCAGCCATATTGCCACCCCACGGAGTCGATGCAGCAGACTGGGCTTCTTGCTTGAATCCTACGTGCAATTCAGTCTAGTGATTTCACATGAGATCCCTTCTTCTGGTATTATCACAGATCGTGCTGAATTATACAGGCTGTGTAATGCTTCTTCCACTGAATATCCGTGCACGTGGGCCACAGATGCTAAGGGCACTGACAAATTTGCACCGTGCCTCAGTAACTCGGAAGCACATCTGTGATTTGTACCGACAGGGACTTGGTGTCTTTTCGTGTTTAAAGTAGCACGTGTGTGTTTGTGGTTGCGTATGTTTATTTCTCTGTGCGGGTTTGTATATTTTCTCTGACTCCACCTATGTCTCCGTGGTTCCGATATTTTTCCACACTCCCTGCGACAATTTGCACATGCCTATCTCTACAACCATTGTAGACTTTGTATCTGTGTCTTTGAACATCTGTCACTCTCTCTCCCTTCCTTTTTTCTTTTCCTTCCTTTACACCCCTTTCATCCTTCCCTTGCTTCCCCACCACACTCTCTCCATCTGTATCGTCTATCTTTCTATTCTCTATCTGGGTTTACTTTCTAATTCTGAATTCAAGGGCATTGAATTGAAAAGAAGCACTCTTCGTACTTTTATGTGTTTTAACTCATTTGGGGAATTTGGCGTGGTATTATTTACAGGGTTCTCTCTGCCCTTTCTCATTGTTCTCCCCAGCCGGGGCTGTTATTATGTGAAAGCTGGTTTCCTTCATCACATCGCGTAGGCTCTAATGATGTTTCGTTTATTTTGATTCTCCTCACACTACATAGTTTTAATTTACCTAATGTGACTGTTTTTTTGTTTGTTTTCCGAGAATGGGTCTTACTCTGTCTTCTAGGTTGGACAGCAGCCCCACGATCTCAGCCCACTGCAGCCCAGGCACCACACACCCATGTGATCCTGTCAACTCAGACTCTCACACACCTGGCAGTACAGGTGCATGCCACCCCTCCAAGCTATGTATTAATTAACTAAATACTTACTTTTTGAATGTGGGTCCATGTTGCCCCAGGCTCATCTGGAACTCCTGAGTGCAGGCAATCCTCCCACCTCAGCTTATCAAAGTGCTGGGATGACAGGTGTGACCCATGGCCCTGCCATGGCTTTGTGTTTTTTGCTTTTTTCTTCCTCCTCCTCACGTCTTGTTTTGAAACATGCACTGAAGGTTTCAATTCATGGACTATAGCCTCTGTGCCTGGAATTTCTATCTTTCAACTCATCATCAGCATTCATTGGGATTTTCATATATATATACACCTATATAAGAATACCTATGTACACACATATATACGTATATACATGTATATACGTATATATGCACATTTATATACGTATATACATGTATATACGTATATATATACATGTACACATATGTATTTATTTCTCAAGTTACGAAACGGCTTGCATTCTTTCCTGTGTCATGAAAAAGACTTTGCTAGAAAAGAAAAGCACTGCTTTATAATAAAATATTTTATTTGCATTTATTTTGTTAAGGCATTTTAAAAATTGTATGTTTGTTTAAAAAATGTCATATGAAATGATACATATTTACAACTTAAGGCGTGATGTTCAACAGGTCATATACATTATGCATTGGATACATCCAGCCAATCAACATATGTGTGACCTCACATAGTTGTCATTTTTGTTGTGAAAAAACTTGACCTGCACTGTATTCGAATATTTTTAGAGAAAGAATATGTTACCACTAGTTATAGTGAGCATGCTGAAGAAAATATTTTTAACCTATTCCTCCTTTATAACTAGAAGTATGAGTTCTTCATCCAGCATCTCGTCAGTGCACCCTCTTCACCGCAGTCATTGGAGTCACTACTTCTGTGAAGTCCGCTTTTTTGATTTCATATAAGAATGAGATCATGTGCTATTTTCCTTTCTGATACCTGGCTTATGTCACTTAACAGAATGGCATGCACACATTCAGCAGATTCCCACACATTCTCACAACTGGCAGGATTTCCTGATTTCTTATTGCAGCGCATATTTCCGTTGCGCATATGCGTTTTTGCCCCATTTTTTAATCCACTTATCAATGGAGGGACTCTCAGGTTGCTTCCGCATTTTGGCTACAGCAAAAATGTAATGAGTGCAGCAATAATTGCATGGGTGCGCGCACCGCTTCAACATACTGATCTGTGTACTGGCGGGCGTGCCCGGGTATTCTGATTTGCTGGATCATATAGTGGGTGGTTCTACTTGTAGATTTCTGAAGGCTGTTTATACTTAAATAAGAGCCATAAAGCTTCTTTAATGCCAGCACTAATTTACATTCTCCCCAAAAGTGAGCAGGGAATTCGTTTTCTCTGCCTCCTCACCAGAGATTAGGGTTTTCTTTTCTTTCTTTTTTTTTTTTTGTTTGTTTGTCTTTCGGATAATATGCATTCTGACTGAAGTGAGAAGAAATCTCATTGTGTTTTTGATTTGCATTTTCGTGATGGATTGGGGATAATGAGGAATTTTTAGTGTGTCTTCTGGGCAACTGTATGTCTCAGTTTCACAAATGAGTCTTCGCAGCCTTCGCCCATTTGTTTTCATGCTATTGAGTTGTTGGGAGTTCCTTATGTACTGTGACTATTCCCCCATGAACAGATGTATGGTGATCCAATCATTGCTCCCATCCTGTAGGATGCCCCTTCTGTATGTTGAGTTTTCTATGGTGTGGTGAAGCACTTTAGTTTGATATGATTCCATTCTCTATTTTTGATGGTGTTTACTGTGTTCTTGCAGTCACTTTGAGACCATCATTGCACACACGGACGCCATGGAGCTTCTTCCTTGTGATCTCTTCTGCTATTTTTATCGTTTCACATCTGACACTGGAGTTTGGTGATAAATAATCCACTTGTAAAATCCTTTGTGTGGCTATTCAGATTTCCCCAACCTAGTTTATAGAAGATACTTGATTTTGCATTGGGCGTTCTTGCTTCTTTGGGAAAAGGCTGTGAGCTGCAAATGCAGTGACTTAGTTCTGGGCTCCTGTTGTTTTTCCTAAGCTCTAGTCTCTGCTTTTCTGCCAGTGCTATTGTATTTTGGTACAAAAAGTTTTGTAGTAGTATATCATGAAGTTAGGTAGTGTGGTGGCTCCAGCTTTGTGCTTTTTACTGGATTGCTCTGGGTTTTCAGGATCTTCTGCCATTTCATAGCAAATTTGGGATTCCCAGATTGTTTTTCTAAGAAGAATGTGTCATTGATATTTTTACAGGGGTTGTATAGAATCTGAGGATGACTCAGGTAGTAGTGATGTCAATGCCGTTTAGACAATGTGCGTGTTTGTGTGCACAAGCTCAGGGCCAAGAGACACTGGGTGTCCTCACCAATACTGAGGTGGGCCTTAATATCCAGCCAGATTGCCTTCTGGAAACACACGGAATGTCCTGTTCTGTTTTGCCATCTCTTCACATTTCCTCCCCTGTGAGCCCTGTGTGGTCCTCCAGATTCCCTGTGCGGTGGCCTGCCTTTTTTGGGGTGGGGAGTTGCTGGGTGAATGAGGATGGCGGAGGGAACCAAGTATGTCAGTGGAGCGTGGTGTCATCCAAACGGTACTTAGCAGGCCTGGGAGAGTCATTCTGGGAGGACGCAGACCTAGAGAGGCCTCAGGTGGGCATCTGTGTGGAGGGTGAGAGATCCCTGGTTGAGCCCAAACTGAACCCCAGGTAGAAGCAAGCCTCAGGACAGGGAAGTAGCTAGCAAGGGATGATGAGGGAGCTATCTCTTGACCCTGGCTTCCCACCCATTGACCTTAGCTACTTGTGCCTATTAAGCAGATTACGGTTCCCCCATCGTGAAATGTGGGTACCACAGTTCCCTGATGGGCATTTCTCCACCAGCCCATGATGGCCTGAGTTTCCTTACTGCAGTCTCCTCCCTGAGCCTTGGCTTCTCTATGTGTGTCCTAACTCCAGGACCCACAGGCCTGTCAACCCCCAGCCCTGGGCTGCTTCCCTGGCCTCTTCTCTGTTCCCTCTCTGAGGGCCTAACTCCCTTGGGTAGTGCTGCAGAATATAGAGCCACAGGCCCTGGCTGATGATCTGGTGGACTGGGCAAATTGGTCGTGACAGGTCAGGTTCTGGTTCAAAGCCAATTCCTCCGATGCCAAGGAATGTCGAAGAAGGTCCTTTGCCATGATGCCCCATAGCTGCCCCACCTCAGCAATCGTGCCGTAACCTGGGCCCTCACAGTCAGACAACCAGCTGAAGAAGCTCAGGCAGTGACCTGCGGGAAACTCGGGCTTTCACCTGCATGACCCTAGAACCACTGGACTGCAGTGGAGCCAGTCGCCCTGTATCCTGGAGGGAGACGAGTCAGGAAGGCGCACGCCAGGCCCAGCTTCCGAGGTACTACCCCCTCTACTCCTCAGGGAGGATGCCAACGCAATACTCCTTAGTCGTCACTTTGTTTCCGAAGTAAATGTTGTGATGAAAGGCAAACTTCTTCCTACCCCTTGTATTCAGGGTGGCCGAGTTCCTCCACCTGCCTGTCCAAGAAGGAGAAACAGGGCTGTGAAGGGGCAATTTCATCTAGGTGGGCTGAGGTGGCATTCTAGCCGGGGTGAAGCATGCGTTTCCCCTTCCCAGCTTTCCCGCTGAGACACACCTGAGCCCCAGAAGGACCTCAACCTGACCAGGACCTTAGCACCCTCCCCCAGACCCAGGCTTTCCATCCTGACCTGCAAATCCAACATGCAGCTTTGAAGGACTTTCTCATGGTTTCTGAGCTCCTTGCTCTCACCAGAAAGAATCAGAACTTTTAAAGTGTTCTTTATGCCAACTTAAATTTTTCATTTTTACTACCTCATGTTTTGGATGAGGCATGTATTTTTAAATTTATTTTCACCCTTATTGTACCTCTATGATAAACTGCTTGCTTACATTCATACCGTAATTATCTCTCAGGTTACTTGTCTGTTCCTAAAGATTCACTGAAACGAAGAATTCTATATATGCTTGTATCTTTCAGCAACCGTATGTCAGATAGCACTGCACATTACTGCAGACATCGCATATACAGGTCCAAAGGTAGAGGAAGAAGAAGAAAGCAAGCGTTAAGCTCTATACATTCCTAAAAGCATATCAGAAACTCACAAATAACAGTGAAATCAAAGAATGATCACAGCCAATTCCATTACATACCTAGACTGAAATACGAAACTTCAAAGAAAAGAAACATTAGAACTTTGGGTTTGTAAAAATTTTCCTATATAGATAAAATTATTGGTAACTGTGTCTCACTAGAAAACGTAAACAAAAGTCCATGTTTTTCATATTTGTAAATATACATAGTTTTATTTCCATCAGTTATGACATGCAAGCAAGTAATAAAGTGAAAGTACAATCAAATGATATATGGAACTTCCTCAGTCTTAAAATATTCCATGGAGACTATCAATTTTATGAAAACTATAAAGAATGCTTCATGAAACTACATTGTACAGTGCCATTTACTATTTTACTGACATTTTAAATAATCAACAATTAAAGGGAATACGTCAACATTATTTAATACCAATAACGTTATTTTTCTTGAGTAATCCTGTTGAAATTAAGGATTTTAAATAAAACATTAAAAACAAATTATATTGACTGATTTCAGCTTTGGATGAAATCATACTTGTGTATTTGTAGTAATGCGAAGCATAACTTTCTCCTCACAATTAATCTTTTATAACATCGGTGTTATAGTTTTCTCTGACACCAACATTGTGATATCGCACAGGTTTACTGCATGCATGCATTACATGCCTCCAGAGAGTAGGCTTCAAATATATGGAAAAATTATATTTATGAAAAAATTCTAGGAAAGGGAATGGTGAAATGGAAGAGAATTTCTCACTTGCTAACTGTTGGACATGGATTTGTATATATTTGGATATAGACACATACTGGCACACTGTGAGTTTGCCCATGTATATATACACTTATATGAGAAACCCATAATATATGGGTTGTGTAATCTTTTAATTAATCCATAATTGTATGTGTGTGAAATTAGATAAGCGGTTACCTTTTCTTTACTCAATTTGATGGAAAGCCAAAAAACTCTGTCCACCTTCATTTCAATTAATCCAATACTGTTAACTGCTGGTAGCTTCATTCTCCTTGTTCTCTTACGGCAACCGGAAAGTTAATTCTCGCTCTAATTTGGCTTTCAAGGTGCGATCAACAAGAGTGTCACCTTGCTGTGGATTGTGACCTCTGACTCCACCTCTGTCTTCCTTTTGCAGTCCTACCTTTGCATAGGTAACAAACTTTGTACATGGTTAAAAGGATAAAAGTTCAGTGAAATGTCAAGCCATGCTGTGAAATGTTCCATAGTTTCTATATCTCTAATTGTCCTTTGATGTTATAGAGGCAAGAAAAATAATTCAATGTTTTTCTTAGTATCTAGTCCAATGCACTCTTTCTTCATAATACTGCAAACAAGGCACTGACATGGAAACGTGGCTGGACGTCTCAAAATCTCTTCTCATTAATTACCATTATGTTAATCACTGTTGCCCACAACTGGAATTGGACTTTGAAATCCCCTGGTGGAAATTGCTATAATGGCTCAAACTACTGGAAAGACTATCTTTTTTTACCTGAAAATATCTGATGAGCATAGACGTATGCTATATACAGGAAGATATTGTACATTAACAACATACCATCACTGCCACTCAATAATAGGTATCCCAAACCTTTGAGCCAAACTGAGCTCAGGTGCTCCCACAAACCAAGCTTTTCCCTCCACAGATTTCTTATGTCAAAAAGCCACAACTCCAGGCCAGGCTTCGTGGCTCTTGTTGTAATTTCTACATTTTGGGAGGCCGAGGTTGGTGGGTCACTTGAGGTCAGGAGTTGGAGACCAGCATGGGCAACATGGCAAAAAGCTGTCTCTACCAAAAATACAAAAATTAGCCAGAACTAGTGGCACTTTCCTGTGGTCCCAGCTACTTGGGAGGCTGAGGTAGGAGAACCACCTGAACATGGGTGGCAGAGATTGTATAGTAAGCCAAGATCAGACTACTGCCTTCCAGCCTGGATGACACAGCGAGACCATGACTGAAAAAAGAAAAAAAAAAATAAAGGCAACTCCACTCGTCCACTGGCTTAGGTAAAAAGTACTGGAGTTGGCTGGGCTCGGTGGCTCACACCTGTATTCCCAGCACTTTGGATTTTGGGAAGCTGAGTCGGGCGGGTCACCTGAGATCTGTAGTAGGAGAGCAGCCTGGCCAACATGGTGAAGCCTGGCTTCTACTAAAAATACAAAACATTAGCTGAGCGTGGTGATGCATGCTTGTAATCCCAGCTACTGCAGAGGCTGAACCTGGGAGGCGGAGGATGTGTTGAGCTGAGATCCTGCCACTGCGCTCCAGCCTGGTCTACAGAGCGAGAGTACCCTGTGAGAAACAAAGGTGAAGAGAACAAGAAAAAAAAATGAGAAAAATAAGACCCACTGCAAAAGGTTGCCACAGAAAAGATTAAACATTTCAGCAACTTCTATCTTCTATCATGGAAGCCAAGGTTATTTGGACCAAACCTCCTGTCTTAGTTCATTTTCACGCTGCTGAAGAAGAGATACCTGAAACTGGGAATAAAAGGAGGTTTAATTGGACTGACAGTTCCACATGGCTGTGGAGGCCTCAGAATCATGGTATACGAATAAAGGCACTTCTTACATGGCAATGCCAAGAGAGAATGAGGAAGAACCTGAGGCAGAAACCCCTGAAAAACCCATCAGATCCCGTGAGACTTCTTCACTGTCACAAGAATAGCATGAGAAAGACCGACCCCCATGATTCAATTACCTCCCCCTGGGTCCCACCCGCAACACGAGGGAATTCTGGGAGATACAATTGAAGCTGAGATTTGAATGGAGACACACCAAACCATGTCACTTCCCAAACAATTAAAAATTCCCAATAGAAGAAGCATTAATTATATCAAAAAGTGGTGGACCAAGAAGGAACTATTAGCCTCATATCTCAAGAAAGACTCCAGTCAAGGCCTAGGGACTACTCATGAAAAGAGTTTAATAGCCGACTCTCTCCCAGTGGATCTGGATTCCACCGGACTGTATCTTCACAGTAAGGGTGAAACAGAAGCAAACCCATTCCTATTTCCAAGCTCAAGGAACTTTGGTCAAAGTTCTCTTGGAGCTGAGCAGAACAAGGAGGCAAACAGAAAAGATTTGTGTCCCTGAGAAGTCATGGCCACAGGCTGGCTATCACACAGATTGTCAAGCCAGTTCCATATTGCATGGGTATTACAGAAAACCTCAAAACATAAATTTGTGTGTGGGTTGTCCCAGAGTAGCAGGATCTGGCAGAAGGAAATTTCCTTCTAACCCTCAAAGAATCCACATAAATCTTGTTACATTTGGGATTTTACGATTTGCTTCAGGAATGAGAATGGCCTTAATTTTCATATCTTTTTCTACACTCAGTTTATGGCTTGTTGGCGTCAAAGTTCTGCTTGCTTCACACAATGAGTTTAGGATTTTCCCTTTTTTATTCTATAGAATTCTTCATATATATTGAAATGCTCTGCCTGGGGAAAAAAATCTGAGCCTAGCGTTTTATCTCTAGGAAGAATCCTTTATTTCCTTGAACATTTATGAGACTATACAGATTATATATGTCTTCTTGTATCAATTTTACTAAGCTATATACATAGCTTATGTTTATATATTATATATATAAATGTAAGATACAAATATAAAAATTATGTATAAATATGAAAATATATATAGAAAGCGATATATATGTCTATATATATAGACAGATTATAAATATCTGTCTATTTGATCTAAGTTTTCAAATTTGTAGGTTAAGGTGTTAACGATATTTCCTTATTAGCTTCTTAATCTATGCTGTATCTATGGTTGTGTACCTTTTAAATTCTTAGTTTTATCTATGTTTTCTCCCTTTTTTTCTAAACTTGACTGACGGTTGCATCATTTATTATATTTCTCCAACAAGCAAAGGTTAGCTTTGTATGTTTTACTAATTTTGTCTACATCATTATTCCCACACTTTAGTTTTTCAGAATTGATTCTGTTGTTTCTTTTCTAATTCTTTATTGAAATATCTAGTACATTAATTTTCAAGTTATTAGAGAAATATTTGTCTGTAAACTCCTATTGTAATATCACTTTTCTTGCTACTCACAGATTTAATCTTTAATATTGGCGGTATCATTGAGTTCTAAGTACATTTCAATTCCTAGTATGATAATCTATGAATTGCTGAGAAATAGTGTTTACAATTTTGTTGTTCTATTTCCACTTAAGTTTATTTTTACTTCTGCTAACTCAATTGAAAATTCTTTACTAATTTTTAAAATCCTTGAACCCAAGAGATGGAGGTTGCAGTGAGCTGAGATCAGGCCACTGCATTCCAGACTGAGTGACAGAGTGGAACGAGATTTCAAAACAAAACAAAACAAAACAAAACAAAACAGTCACTGGAAAGATAATAAAATACATAAATGTGGGATGTAATATGTAATCGTGATAAAATAAACTGGATTTTTTGTATAAGTTATACATATAAATGTAATGCCAAGACACTGATAAGACAACTCATGGTCTTATCTCAATACTTAGTGTCTTCATGTAACATATGTCCTTTAGGATAGTTATAGTCCGTTTTCTTTCCAGGAGAGACAGATGAGAATGCAGAAATGTTAAAGTGCAAGGGACGGAAGCTTCCAGCTGTGCCCACCTGTAACCTGACGTAGACAGTTCCACCGTTTGCTTCATTAATCATGCCAAAGGCTCTAATGCAAATGTGGTACAGAGTCACATGTTTTTGTATCTACATGATAGAAACTATAACTTCATCCCTATATAGAAGGGTATATAGCATATGCCTCAGTGATAAATATAAGTGAATCATTGATCAGTAGGAAACCATTTTAAAAGTCTTTCATAACAGAACAAAATCCCTGAAAACATTTTCTTCTCAATCTCTGAGTTTTCTTACACGGCTTATGAATCTCTAGCCATACTAAAGAGATAGTATGCTGCTCTTCCCACAAATTATTCATTGTATATAATTCCTGTAATCTAATAACAGTACCTTTACACCTCAGGGTTTAAAATGACTCCAACCTTTTTCTGTTTCTCCAATTAAAATAACTTTTTTAAGGTTTAATCTTCAGTAATTTTTTGTAGTAATATTTTTGAAGGTATTTGACCAGGATGATTTGCTTATATACCTACCTGACGTCTCCCTTTCTTCTGAATACATATTTTATTACCCACCTATTAGATCTAAGTTTAAGAAGTTGGAATAGGGATTTAAATCTAAATTCTACATTTGAATTTACAGGAGTCAGCGAGTCCGGGAAGTGCCTTTATGCACAGACCAATATCTGGCAATGGCACTAGGAGACAAATAAGCTTTACCAGTCTCAAAGCCCTGGCTACTACAGTGAATCCACCCTTCTCCTGGATCTTATCTACTTCAGCAAAAGAAGGCCACCCACTAAACCAGGCCCTTGTACTTTGGGTGGAAACTCCTAAGTCCTCTAGTCTCCTCAAACAGACAGCCAGGCTGCCAATTTCCACAATAATAATTTCTATAGCACTGAGTCTTTGGTAGCCTTGTAACTATAGCTACTGATGCTACAGTCTGGTCCCTGTATGATAAAACACCAGAGCAACAGAAACAAAAATATTGACTGAAGCCTTCTAAAATCTCTCTAAATATACCTTCAATAAATATGGTTTTTTTTACAGAACGACTGCTTTCAGCTTCCTGAACTAACGCTTGGCCTTCGCTAGTTGTCACTGTTGAAATTGATTCAAAAGTGTACATTTAACATGAAAGTCAACACAGAATTTCATGTGTCAGCAACTAAAATTTTCAAAATGTTGCAAAATACAAATGTGAAACTGTATTTGTGAAATTTACCATTCATTGAAATTATATTTTCATACCTACCCAGGCACAGAATTTTTTATAACTGTCTGCATGTTCTCCTCATGTGGGGGAAAAGCAGCATCAGCAGGCAGAGGAATCCTTTGAAGCTGGAGGGAGAGGTTGCAGTGATCTGAGAGTTTGCCACTTGACTGCAGCCTGGATGACACAGTGAGACTCCAACTGAAAAGAAACAAACACACACACACACACACACACACACACACACCCCCAAAATTGATAAGTAAAAAAAAAATCCATATTCGAAAACATGCTCACAGGCTAACTCCCATATCTAACACACACACACACACACACACACACACACACACACACACAATTCCTTGAAAACGAAAGTTCCACAAGGGCAAAACAAGAAAACAAATTTAACACCCCCCAAAGAAAGTACAAAGAGTAACCTCAAAAGAACCGCAGGGGAAAACAATTCAAAATTTACAAGTATCTACCCTAAAAGAAGCTGAAAGTCCCTCAAAAACTTTCCAGAGGCCATGTCCTTGTATTACAAAAATGATCATAAAAACTGGCAGGAGTAGACGAATAGAAATGCATCTTAAAACTTGCTAAACCCTTCAAGTCTCCCATAAGAATTGTAATGGAAAATGGATCGGTCGGCAGCTTTTTCCATACAATTATGAACAAATTATATTTCTTCATACATAGATTTGTTTTTTCAATATTCTAAGGAATTAACTTTTATATTAATAGTAGGTGATGTAAGAAAGCAGGCCTTTATCAAGATAACTGACACTGGATGTCCATACCATTACTCAGGTGGGCCTTAATTCCCAGCCGGGTTCCCTCCCTGGACACACACTGAAGGTCCCCAGCCATTTGGCAATCTCTTCACATTCCCAGCCCTGGAGGTAGCCCTAAAATACATGTACCTGAAGAAAATAAAACATTGCCTCACACTGGAGCCCAGTGTGGTCCTCCAGATTCCGTGTGAGGTGGACTAACTTATATGGGAAGGCAGGGCAGCGGGAGTGAGGATGGCAGAGAGGATTACACATGTCAAGGCAGCCGGGGTCATGGAAACAAAACATGACTGGCCTGGGAGAAACACTGTGAAAGGACACAGACCTAGGTGGGCCTCAGGTGGACATCCTCGTGGAGAAAAAGGGGGCCCTGGTTGATCTCAAAATGAGCCCCAGGTGGTAGCAGGTCTTACCGCAGGGCAGGGAGCTGGCGAGTAATGATGAGACAGCTATCCCTTAAGCCCTGCTTGTCACCCACTGACTTTAGCCACATATGCATCATAGTGGCTTAAGGTGCCCCGATCCTGAAATGTGGGTGTTACATGTCCCTGATGGGCCTCTCTCCCCCAACCCACGGATTGCCTGGGATTGCTCACTGCAGTCTCCTCCCGGATCCTTGGGTTCTCCATGTGGGGCCCAGATCCAGGTCAAAAGGCCTCTCAGTTCCCAGCCCTTCCCAGCCCTAGGCTGCTCGCCTGGCCTCCTCTCTGTTCCGCCTCTAGGGCTGACCCTCTCTCCATGGGATAGAACTGCAATGGATTGAGCCATAGGCCCTGGCTGATGATCTAGGTGACTGCAGAAGTGGGTCCAGGACAGTTCAGGTGACAGTTCAAAGCCAATTCCCCAGAGACCAAGGAATGACCAGCTAGGTCCTTTCCCATGATGCCCCACGGCGAACCCCACCTCAGCAATCCTGCCAAAACCCGGGCAGTCATGTTCAGCCAAACAGCTGAATGAGCTCAGGTAGGAGGTGTACTGCCTGCAGCTGGAGGCTTGACCTTCGTGATCCCAGAACCGCTGGACTGCAGTGGAATGAGACACCCTGTAGCCTGCAGGGAGAGGAGTCAGGAAGGTTCATGCCAGTCCCACCCTCCCACACACCAGCTCCCCTACCATGCTGGGAGGCATTCCTTACCGAGGATGCCAACACAGTGCTCCTTCATGATGATTTCACTGTGGAAATAAAGGTTGGGATGAAAGGAAATCATCCTGCCACCGGTAACCGGGATGGCTGAGTTCCTCCACCTGCCGGATCAAGGAGAAAGAGGATGGATTCAATGGGACCATCTCAACTAGCCGGGCTGAGGTGGCCTACTAGCTGTAGTGAACCATGAGTTTCCCCTTCCCAGCTCTCCCACTGAGACAACCCTGGTCCCCAGGGGGACCTCAAACTGACTCAGACACTGGACTCCTCCCACAGACCCAGGCTCCCCAGCCTGACCTGCAAATCCATCACGTAGCAAAGCAGGACTTCCGCATGCTTTCCGACCCACGCCGACATCTCGTGTGCCAAACAATCTACCTCTGCGCAAGAACTCTCCAGAGGATTGGGTGGGCAAGCCTCGTGACGCCTTGCAATTTCGCAAGAACACAGACAATGTGGAACAGGGCCATCTCCCAGACATTTGGCCAGTCACCCTTCATTGTTGGCCCTCTATCTCTGTCTGGCGAGGAGGCAACGCCACAACTGTGGTGGTTTTTGGAGTGGGTGGACCCCGGCCAAGACGGCCTGGGCTGACCAGAGACGGGAGGCAGAAAAAGTGGGCAGGTGGTTGCAGCTGAGGGACGGGAGGGACCGGGGGTGGTGTGAGGCGGCTGCTTCTCTGGGTTTCTGAGATGCAGGAGGCCTTTGTGTGCTGGGTGCTGGACATGCTCCGCTGATGTCCGGGTGTGTGGTGTCCTCTTATCCTAGTCTCCCTGAGGGGTGGGCCTGTCCACCTGAGGGAAGCCTTGTAGTTAGAAGCCACAGCAGGGTCGTGCCTGGCGCTCTCCAAGGGAATTGCGTGGGTCCAGAGGAAGTTATACAGGCTCAGGGCCTACACGCCTTTGAGTGCAGCGCCTGCAGTTGGATGAATGCGCATCTGCGGAGCTGGTGCCCGCCGTCAGGTGGTCGGCAGCCCCATGCGCCGCGAACCCGTCTTAAGCACCTTGCGTTTCTGGGGTGAGCCTGCTGGAAACAGGCACCGAGAGCAGGGGTGGTTCAATGGCTGGTAATGGCATACAGATTCCCCGTCCTCCAGGGACGTTCCCAGGGAAACGCGTCCTTCGAATTTGGGCTGTGCGCAAAGGGACCTTGGCGCCGCGATTCTCCCTTGTCAGTGCTGGCCCTGGCTCCCCTTCCCTACCACGTGCTCCCAGGGCTGCTACAAGCGAGCTGCCCTCACAGCTGCGGGAACGTGGCCTCGGCTCCCACGCTGTCCCCCATCCCCTGCCTCCTGGCTGACCCCACGTGCCTCCCACCTGGCTCCTCCCCGCAAACAGCCCCCATACCCCCCGAGGCCCGATGACTATCCCCTGCTGCCCGCCATCCCAAATCGGCAGCCGCAAGGATATGGCTCTGGCTCACAAGGCGGAGATGCTCTGTGGCCTGGGGCATTCACGGAGCCCAGCTCCAAGTGAAGGACCTCCAGCGAGTCCATTGACGGCCCCGGTGTGCTCGGTCCAGGGCCAGGCTGTGCCCGCTGGCCCTCCTTCTGCCACCCCACGTCGGGCTCCACCTCAACCACCACCTCCACCTCAGCCATGATGTCTTCCACCTTCAGCACCGCCTCCTCTTCCAAGGCCGCCTCCTTGCTCTGTACCCCGGCCGTCCTCTCCAGCATTGCCTCCAGCCTGAACACGGTTTTCTCCTGGGTGCTCCCACAGACCCTGGGCCTGCGCAGCCCAGCCCAGCCCAGCCCATGCCCCGCACCCGTAGGCTCTGGGGGCCCGCTCCCCAGCAGACCCGCTCCCTGCAAGACCCACGGGCGTCGCCCTGCTGTGAACCTGGTCCCACACCTACGTGGACCCAGGTTTCCTGAGGAGCTCCGCTGGACCCGCAGATCCCGCACTGGCCAAAGGGCTCCGGTCCCCAGCAGGCTCAACTGCGCACAGGAGCTCGGGAGCCAGAGGCCCCGGCCCTGGGCTTGCAGAGCCCCACCAACAGGCACCGCAACCGCTGCTGCGGGTGCGGGAGCCTCTGGGTCGTCAAGGCAGCGCACAACAGCGTGCGTGCAGGCCGACAATGGCCAACCCTGGCGGCTGGCCTCTGGTGTGCCCAGGGCATAGGACAAGAGGCCCTTTGGAATGCTCCTTGGAGTACAGCATCCTCAGGGAGGAAGCATGGTACTCGGAGCCTCTATTTGCCTCGACCTGTGAGAGTGTGTGCCGGGGCTCTGGCCTCTACAGCAGATCAATTCCACCTCAGCACCGGCAGGCGACTTTCCTCCCACGTGCCCGCCCCGATCACTTCCCCCAGGACACCCCTGCCGCCCTAGCCCCAGCAACCAGAGAGAGTTCTCTGCATCTGCTGTATTACCTCCGTACCATCTACCTGGCCTGCCTAACGAAGAGAGATGTTTCCTGTGTTCATGACACATAGAGATGTTCATGGCTTGCCACACTGAGGATGTCAGGGCACAGGGCTGCCATGCCCACAATTCCAAAGGCCACGCAGCCCGCGTGTGCCCGGATGCCTAGCTACCCGGCACAAGCTCCAAGGGCTTCTCGGAGGAGGCTTGGGCAGGGAAGGCGGGGGGTGGGGGGGCTGGAGATGCAGGCCCGCCAGTGGCTGTGCCGCCCAGGGAGACGCCCACCGCCCTCCCATTGACTGGCCACGACGGGAGGAAGTCGGCCTGGGTGCGGCCCCCCGGCCCTTCGCGCGCAGTCCCTTAGGGGGCGCCTGGAAGCCCGGCGCATGCGCCCTGAGGGCTCGCTGACCTACCGGGTGCCAGAGAGGCTGCGGCAGGGTTTCTGTGGCGTGGGTCGGGCAGCACAGGCCTTGGTGTGTGCGAGTGCCAAGGAGGGCACCGCCTTCAGGATGGAGGCTGTACAGGAGGGGGCGGCCGGGGTGGAGAGTGAGCAGGCGGCTTTGGGGGAGGAGGCGGTGCTGCTGTTGGATGACATAATGGCGGAGGTGGAGGTGGTGGCGGAGGTGGAGGTGGTGGCGGAGGAGGAGGGCCTCGTGGAGCGGCGGGAGGAGGCCCAGCGGGCACAGCAGGCTGTGCCTGGCCCTGGGCCCATGACCCCAGAGTCTGCACTGGAGGAGCTGCTGGCCGTTCAGGTGGAGCTGGAGCCGGTTAATGCCCAAGCCAGGAAGGCCTTTTCTCGGCAGCGGGAAAAGATGGAGCGGAGGCGCAAGCCCCAGCTAGACCGCAGAGGCGCCGTCATCCAGAGCGTCCCTGGCTTCTGGGCCAATGTTGTATCCTTCTCAGTGTTTCTTCGGCCTTTCTAGTGGAGAGGTGCTCTCGGGGAAGTGTAAGTGACCGATGGGCAGCTCGGCGTCGATGTGACTCTTTGGGGAACAAAGGGGAGTTGCCACGGACCAGTGTGGCTGTGGAAAGCCGGAGCAGGCGTGGGTACTATTGTCCTGCATGCGGCAGAGAAACCCTTGGTGATGCCGAGCAGCAGACGTTTGGGGCATCTTTTTGAAGAGCAGAAGCGAGTTCAGAGCGGAAGAGGTTTTTCAGTGAATGAAGCTATTTTTAAGGGAGTGTGATTGCTGCCCCTTGCTAGTCCGATCTGGGACTGGGCGTCTTCGGCTATAAGCAGATTCTGCCACTCCTCAGACACCAGCAAGTCTCTGCAAATCGCGCCTCCCCATGTCAGTGCAGTCAGCCTCAGAATCATACACCCTCTGTGAACACAGGAGGCCTTAGTTTACGGGGACGGGGAGGCGAAAGGAGATCATACATGGAAGCAGATCTGAGAAATCCCCTACCCCAGCCTCTGGGTGCTCTTAGGCCTTCTTCCCTGTTGCTCCTCGCTTTCCCTTCCATCGTGTGTAAAGTCTCTTTGACCTAAATCAGATTGCAAACCACCCCCAGATGTCAGCCCTGATCACTGACGAAGATGAAGACATGCTGAGCTACATGGTCAGCCTGGAGGTGAGGCCAGGAAGACTGGGGCTAGAGGGTTTAGCGGGGGAGGGTAAGGGAAATAATTCATTCCTGTAAGCAAGAGTGAGCACCTCACCCGAAAACCTATCTAAGCTTTCTCCACCTTGTCCTGACAGGTGGGAGAAGAGAAGCATCCTGTTCATCTCTGCAAGATCATGTTGTTCTTTCGGAGTAACCCCTACTTCCAGAATAAAGTGATTACCAAGGAATATCTGGTGAACATCACAGGTGACAGGTGGCTCCCAGGATGGGTAGTGGAAGGAAGATGGTGGGTGGATCATTGCCAACGGGATCCAGCCCCCTTCCCACAAAAACTCCTGTCTCTGTAGAATACAGGGCTTCTCATTCCACTCCAATTGAGTGGTATCCGGATTATGAAGTGGAGGCCTATCGCCGCAGACACCACAACAGCAGCCTTAACTTCTTCAACTGGTTCTCTGACCACAACTTCGCAGGATCTAACAAGATTGCTGAGGTGAGTCCTCACTGGGAAACATGAGGAATGACCCCGTGTGTTCCCAGCTGCTTGGGTCACCTTTCTGAGCCCTGATGAGGCCTTTCCCGATTGAGTCCCCTGACAGATCCTATGTAAGGACCTGTGGCGCAATCCCCTGCAATACTACAAGAGGATGAAGCCACCTGAAGAGGGAACAGAGACGTCAGGTGAGCCGTTAGTTGGCACTGGAGCTGTTTGATGCCCAGTATAAGGGGGTTGACACACCTGCCTATTCAGGGAGCCTGGGTGCTCATTTCAGAAATGTAGAAATTGAGGCTCCTTTCGTACATGTAGAAATTCCTTGAGAGGAAGACAGAGAGTGACAGAATCCAGGACGTTCATGGCATTGGGCTGAAAAGGCACGTTAGAGACTGCACTGCAAAGCGGGTGATAGCTGTGGAGTCTTAAGCCCAGTGAAGAATCGTCCATTTCCAGAATCAATGAGAAGTAAAGCTGAAAATCATTCAGTTCAGTCTGTGGCACTTGATTCCACGGCTGTCAACCCCACCGGCAGTCATCCCACCAACCCCATGAGATTGGGCTCCCTGAATGTGCGTCCTGGTCATCCTTGCCCCAAACCACAAAGGACTGTTTAGATTGATGGATTTCCTTAAGCTGTTGCCCCATCAGACTTGTGTGTGCTTTTAGGGCCCAGTGCATCTTGTTAGCTGACTCCCCTCACAGACAATACTGGGAATGGGGCAGGGATTGCGCAGAACAGTTTGTAACACGTGGTAGGAGGAAGTTTAAGGGATCACAAATGGGGAAGGGATATCCTTTTCTCAGCGGGCCCCACAATTGAAACATTTCAAAGTATGGCTCAGAGAAAATGCGTTTTAACATGAGTTTGTGTTTCTCTAGGGGACTCCCAGTTGTTGAGTTGAATATGATGGAGCATCAGATTTTACCTAATACAGCAGAACTCCTAAAAAGTTACAGCCATATGCAGGACGGCAGTACTCAGCATGGTCTTATGCACAGGAACTAAAGGAAAAAGAGATCGAGTCACAAAAATTCAGGAAGAGGGGGTAAATGTGGATTGTATGGAATGAAAAATAAACATTCTCAAGGATGTGTGACTCTGTGTCTGTGTGTGTGTGTGTGTCTTTGTGTTTGTGTGTGTGTGTCTGTGTGTGTATGTTTATCCACTTTATTCGGGTGTCATAATGAATTGATCAATCCACGTGCTTTATTCTCTTCATGGAAATAACCAGTCTGCGTTGGAGCTGGGCCTCTAAAGTTGTAGAGTGAATGGGTGTGGGATGTGTTGGGATTCTTCCTACAGGACAGAGTGGGAGAGGTAAAAGCAAAAGACAGCTTAGTTGGAGGCTGACTTCGTCCTATGGAAGCAGAGATAGTTCAAGGAAAGGGGTTACTGGGTTTCCAGGGCCCAGTTTGCTGGGACCTCCAAAATCCTTCATTTTGGGTATCATCATACACAGTAGCTAAGCACAGGATGATGGAAATCTTAAAGTTCGCTTTCGTGTTGAATCCACATGTTCTTTTAAAGGTGAATGCATGATCCTTTTCTGGGACAATCAGCCTCTCAGGACTTCTGAAACATCAACGTGAGAAGAAATGGGCATGTAAGGTGTATGGAGGGACTGTGGGAAAGGTGACAGAGGCATGTGGGAAGGCATTCAGGATACGCTTTTGGCAGAGATGACTAAGGGAAAACAGAAACTTACAGAAGTGAGGGGAAAGGGGGTGGATTAGTGGAATATAAGATTGTTGGAGAATCCATCCATGGACTCTCTTGTCACTTGATGACCCAGGATATGGACACTCTTGTTGATGTTTACATCTTTAGTTGTTTTAAGCTTTTCTCCAAGATTCTGTGTTAGGTGAGGAGCCAATAACGTATGTAGCTAACAACAGTACGAGTGCATTTTGTGCTCTTGCAAAGTCTAGTGAGGCTCTATTCTCCCTCGTGATTGGCACTGCAGATTGTATCTGGACCCAGGGCCCCTAAATTTTCTGTGGCCTCTTCAGCATAGTTTGCCTAAGGTTTAGAACGTAAAGCGAATATAGTTGCGGAATATGTTTTGCAAGCCTCACACAGGAGGACAAAACATACAGCTTTCATTCGCGAGTGGGAGGCTGCTTCCCAGGAACACGTGTGTCTGCACAAGACAAGGGGTTGCCTCTGTCAAGGATGGGGCAGGAGGATTTCAGTGTCGGAGGCAGAACTTTCTTTCCTGTTCCCAGATGAAACAGTTCCAACACGAGCATCCATGTTGACCACACGCTACTAGAGTGCTAACATTGCTGTCCCGTATAGACTCCGGTCAGCACAGCTTCTGTGAGAAGAGCTATGTTGTTTCAGGGAAGAGGGTTTGACAGTCAAAGTTCCTGAATCTGTTGTGGTGCCTGCAATATGCATTCTACCCCTCCTGCTCGGTGTCAAAGCAGTTGAGCTTTGAAAATCTATCGCCCGGTTTTGTCCCTGCTCCTATGCAGACCTCTGAAGCTCTGGAGCGGGAGTCTTGTCCTCCTCTGACTACCGTCCCCCTGACCCACAAACACAGGAGAAACAGGTGTTCTAAGCAAATTATTCTGAAAACAGTCGGAACACTTTGGCCCCCTCAAGCTGCCCTCTATCCTACTGTGTGCATGTCAAAGACACTGTGGTCCAGTACGGTATCCCTATAGCGGCAATGGGGCAACAGATTGGTGTGTGCACTCTGGGCAACTCAGATTAGGAAACGTCTGGGGACTTGCCTATAACGAGGTCGTCTTAAAACGTGTTGCCCCAAATTTAAGGCATAGGAAAATGTTGAGGAAAGGGTCTTGCAATGATTTTTCTAGGAGGTAAATAGATAAGAAAATGACCGTAAATAGATGCCAGGGCTAGTTTTGGAGCTAGCCTTTTTTAAAGTGGTGGTAGGGGAGGAGGTTTTTCCAAGGCAGGTAGCAAACCAGGAACTGTCTACGATGGATGGGCGTGCCATGGGTTGGTGGCTCAGCCATATTGCCACCCCACGGAGTCGATGCAGCAGACTGGGCTTCTTGCTTGAATCCTACGTGCAATTCAGTCTAGTGATTTCACATGAGATCCCTTCTTCTGGTATTATCACAGATCGTGCTGAATTATACAGGCTGTGTAATGCTTCTTCCACTGAATATCCGTGCACGTGGGCCACAGATGCTAAGGGCACTGACAAATTTGCACCGTGCCTCAGTAACTCGGAAGCACATCTGTGATTTGTACCGACAGGGACTTGGTGTCTTTTCGTGTTTACAGTAGCACGTGTGTGTTTGTGGTTGCGTATGTTTATTTCTCTGTGCGGGTTTGTATATTTTCTCTGACTCCACCTATGTCTCCGTGGTTCCGATATTTTTCCACACTCCCTGCGACAATTTGCACATGCCTATCTCTACAACCATTGTAGACTTTGTATCTGTGTCTTTGAACATCTGTCACTCTCTCTCCCTTCCTTTTTTCTTTTCCTTCCTTTACACCCCTCCTTTCATCCTTCCCTTGCTTCCCCACCACACTCTCTCCATCTGTATCGTCTATGTTTCTATTCTCTATCTGGGTTTACTTTCTAATTCTGAATTCAAGGGCATTGAATTGAAAAGAAGCACTCTTCGTACTTTTATGTGTTTTAACTCATTTGGGGAATTTGGCGTGGTATTATTTACAGGGTTCTCTCTGCCCTTTCTCATTGTTCTCCCCAGCCGGGGCTGTTATTATGTGAAAGCTGGTTTCCTTCATCACATCGCGTAGGCTCTAATGATGTTTCGTTTATTTTGATTCTCCTCACACTACATAGTTTTAATTTACCTAATGTGACTGTTTTTTTGTTTGTTTTCCGAGAATGGGTCTTACTCTGTCTTCTAGGTTGGACAGCAGCCCCACGATCTCAGCCCACTGCAGCCCAGGCACCACACACCCATGTGATCCTGTCAACTCAGACTCTCACACACCTGGCAGTACAGGTGCATGCCACCCCTCCAAGCTATGTATTAATTAACTAAATACTTACTTTTTGAATGTGGGTCCATGTTGCCCCAGGCTCATCTGGAACTCCTGAGTGCAGGCAATCCTCCCACCTCAGCTTATCAAAGTGCTGGGATGACAGGTGTGACCCATGGCCCTGCCATGGCTTTGTGTTTTTTGCTTTTTTCTTCCTCCTCCTCACGTCTTGTTTTGAAACATGCACTGAAGGTTTCAATTCATGGACTATAGCCTCTGTGCCTGGAATTTCTATCTTTCAACTCATCATCAGCATTCATTGGGATTTTCATATATATATACACCTATATAAGAATACCTATGTACACACATATATACGTATATACATGTATATACGTATATATGCACATTTATATACGTATATACATGTATATACGTATATATATACATGTACACATATGTATTTATTTCTCAAGTTACGAAACGGCTTGCATTCTTTCCTGTGTCATGAAAAAGACTTTGCTAGAAAAGAAAAGCACTGCTTTATAATAAAATATTTTATTTGCATTTATTTTGTTAAGGCATTTTAAAAATTGTATGTTTGTTTAAAAAATGTCATATGAAATGATACATATTTACAACTTAAGGCGTGATGTTCAACAGGTCATATACATTATGCATTGGATACATCCAGCCAATCAACATATGTGTGACCTCACATAGTTGTCATTTTTGTTGTGAAAAAACTTGACCTGCACTGTATTCGAATATTTTTAGAGAAAGAATATGTTACCACTAGTTATAGTGAGCATGCTGAAGAAAATATTTTTAACCTATTCCTCCTTTATAACTAGAAGTATGAGTTCTTCATCCAGCATCTCGTCAGTGCACCCTCTTCACCGCAGTCATTGGAGTCACTACTTCTGTGAAGTCCGCTTTTTTGATTTCATATAAGAATGAGATCATGTGCTACTTTCCTTTCTGATACCTGGCTTATGTCACTTAACAGAATGGCATGCACACATTCAGCAGATTCCCACACATTCTCACAACTGGCAGGATTTCCTGATTTCTTATTGCAGCGCATATTTCCGTTGCGCATATGCGTTTTTGCCCCATTTTTTAATCCACTTATCAATGGAGGGACTCTCAGGTTGCTTCCGCATTTTGGCTACAGCAAAAATGTAATGAGTGCAGCAATAATTGCATGGGTGCGCGCACCGCTTCAACATACTGATCTGTGTACTGGCGGGCGTGCCCGGGTATTCTGATTTGCTGGATCATATAGTGGGTGGTTCTACTTGTAGATTTCTGAAGGCTGTTTATACTTAAATAAGAGCCATAAAGCTTCTTTAATGCCAGCACTAATTTACATTCTCCCCAAAAGTGAGCAGGGAATTCGTTTTCTCTGCCTCCTCACCAGAGATTAGGGTTTTCTTTTCTTTCTTTTTTTTTTTTTGTTTGTTTGTCTTTCGGATAATATGCATTCTGACTGAAGTGAGAAGAAATCTCATTGTGTTTTTGATTTGCATTTTCGTGATGGATTGGGGATAATGAGGAATTTTTAGTGTGTCTTCTGGGCAACTGTATGTCTCAGTTTCACAAATGAGTCTTCGCAGCCTTCGCCCATTTGTTTTCATGCTATTGAGTTGTTGGGAGTTCCTTATGTACTGTGACTATTCCCCCATGAACAGATGTATGGTGATCCAATCATTGCTCCCATCCTGTAGGATGCCCCTTCTGTATGTTGAGTTTTCTATGGTGTGGTGAAGCACTTTAGTTTGATATGATTCCATTCTCTATTTTTGATGGTGTTTACTGTGTTCTTGCAGTCACTTTGAGACCATCATTGCACACACGGACGCCATGGAGCTTCTTCCTTGTGATCTCTTCTGCTATTTTTATCGTTTCACATCTGACACTGGAGTTTGGTGATAAATAATCCACTTGTAAAATCCTTTGTGTGGCTATTCAGATTTCCCCAACCTAGTTTATAGAAGATACTTGATTTTGCATTGGGCGTTCTTGCTTCTTTGGGAAAAGGCTGTGAGCTGCAAATGCAGTGACTTAGTTCTGGGCTCCTGTTGTTTTTCCTAAGCTCTAGTCTCTGCTTTTCTGCCAGTGCTATTGTATTTTGGTACAAAAAGTTTTGTAGTAGTATATCATGAAGTTAGGTAGTGTGGTGGCTCCAGCTTTGTGCTTTTTACTGGATTGCTCTGGGTTTTCAGGATCTTCTGCCATTTCATAGCAAATTTGGGATTCCCAGATTGTTTTTCTAAGAAGAATGTGTCATTGATATTTTTACAGGGGTTGTATAGAATCTGAGGATGACTCAGGTAGTAGTGATGTCAATGCCGTTTAGACAATGTGCGTGTTTGTGTGCACAAGCTCAGGGCCAAGAGACACTGGGTGTCCTCACCAATACTGAGGTGGGCCTTAATATCCAGCCAGATTGCCTTCTGGAAACACACGGAATGTCCTGTTCTGTTTTGCCATCTCTTCACATTTCCTCCCCTGTGAGCCCTGTGTGGTCCTCCAGATTCCCTGTGCGGTGGCCTGCCTTTTTTGGGGTGGGGAGTTGCTGGGTGAATGAGGATGGCGGAGGGAACCAAGTATGTCAGTGGAGCGTGGTGTCATCCAAACGGTACTTAGCAGGCCTGGGAGAGTCATTCTGGGAGGACGCAGACCTAGAGAGGCCTCAGGTGGGCATCTGTGTGGAGGGTGAGAGATCCCTGGTTGAGCCCAAACTGAACCCCAGGTAGAAGCAAGCCTCAGGACAGGGAAGTAGCTAGCAAGGGATGATGAGGGAGCTATCTCTTGACCCTGGCTTCCCACCCATTGACCTTAGCTACTTGTGCCTATTAAGCAGATTACGGTTCCCCCATCGTGAAATGTGGGTACCACAGTTCCCTGATGGGCATTTCTCCACCAGCCCATGATGGCCTGAGTTTCCTTACTGCAGTCTCCTCCCTGAGCCTTGGCTTCTCTATGTGTGTCCTAACTCCAGGACCCACAGGCCTGTCAACCCCCAGCCCTGGGCTGCTTCCCTGGCCTCTTCTCTGTTCCCTCTCTGAGGGCCTAACTCCCTTGGGTAGTGCTGCAGAATATAGAGCCACAGGCCCTGGCTGATGATCTGGTGGACTGGGCAAATTGGTCGTGACAGGTCAGGTTCTGGTTCAAAGCCAATTCCTCCGATGCCAAGGAATGTCGAAGAAGGTCCTTTGCCATGATGCCCCATAGCTGCCCCACCTCAGCAATCGTGCCGTAACCTGGGCCCTCACAGTCAGACAACCAGCTGAAGAAGCTCAGGCAGTGACCTGCGGGAAACTCGGGCTTTCACCTGCATGACCCTAGAACCACTGGACTGCAGTGGAGCCAGTCGCCCTGTATCCTGGAGGGAGACGAGTCAGGAAGGCGCACGCCAGGCCCAGCTCCCGAGGTACTACCCCCTCTACTCCTCAGGGAGGATGCCAACGCAATACTCCTTAGTCGTCACTTTGTTTCCGAAGTAAATGTTGTGATGAAAGGCAAACTTCTTCCTACCCCTTGTATTCAGGGTGGCCGAGTTCCTCCACCTGCCTGTCCAAGAAGGAGAAACAGGGCTGTGAAGGGGCAATTTCATCTAGGTGGGCTGAGGTGGCATTCTAGCCGGGGTGAAGCATGCGTTTCCCCTTCCCAGCTTTCCCGCTGAGACACACCTGAGCCCCAGAAGGACCTCAACCTGACCAGGACCTTAGCACCCTCCCCCAGACCCAGGCTTTCCATCCTGACCTGCAAATCCAACATGCAGCTTTGAAGGACTTTCTCATGGTTTCTGAGCTCCTTGCTCTCACCAGAAAGAATCAGAACTTTTAAAGTGTTCTTTATGCCAACTTAAATTTTTCATTTTTACTACCTCATGTTTTGGATGAGGCATGTATTTTTAAATTTATTTTCACCCTTATTGTACCTCTATGATAAACTGCTTGCTTACATTCATACCGTAATTATCTCTCAGGTTACTTGTCTGTTCCTAAAGATTCACTGAAACGAAGAATTCTATATATGCTTGTATCTTTCAGCAACCGTATGTCAGATAGCACTGCACATTACTGCAGACATCGCATATACAGGTCCAAAGGTAGAGGAAGAAGAAGAAAGCAAGCGTTAAGCTCTATACATTCCTAAAAGCATATCAGAAACTCACAAATAACAGTGAAATCAAAGAATGATCACAGCCAATTCCATTACATACCTAGACTGAAATACGAAACTTCAAAGAAAAGAAACATTAGAACTTTGGGTTTGTAAAAATTTTCCTATATAGATAAAATTATTGGTAACTGTGTCTCACTAGAAAACGTAAACAAAAGTCCATGTTTTTCATATTTGTAAATATACATAGTTTTATTTCCATCAGTTATGACATGCAAGCAAGTAATAAAGTGAAAGTACAATCAAATGATATATGGAACTTCCTCAGTCTTAAAATATTCCATGGAGACTATCAATTTTATGAAAACTATAAAGAATGCTTCATGAAACTACATTGTACAGTGCCATTTACTATTTTACTGACATTTTAAATAATCAACAATTAAAGGGAATACATCAACATTATTTAATACCAATAACGTTATTTTTCTTGAGTAATCCTGTTGAAATTAAGGATTTTAAATAAAACATTAAAAACAAATTATATTGACTGATTTCAGCTTTGGATGAAATCATACTTGTGTATTTGTAGTAATGCGAAGCATAACTTTCTCCTCACAATTAATCTTTTATAACATCGGTGTTATAGTTTTCTCTGACACCAACATTGTGATATCGCACAGGTTTACTGCATGCATGCATTACATGCCTCCAGAGAGTAGGCTTCAAATATATGGAAAAATTATATTTATGAAAAAATTCTAGGAAAGGGAATGGTGAAATGGAAGAGAATTTCTCACTTGCTAACTGTTGGACATGGATTTGTATATATTTGGATATAGACACATACTGGCACACTGTGAGTTTGCCCATGTATATATACACTTATATGAGAAACCCATAATATATGGGTTGTGTAATCTTTTAATTAATCCATAATTGTATGTGTGTGAAATTAGATAAGCGGTTACCTTTTCTTTACTCAATTTGATGGAAAGCCAAAAAACTCTGTCCACCTTCATTTCAATTAATCCAATACTGTTAACTGCTGGTAGCTTCATTCTCCTTGTTCTCTTACGGCAACCGGAAAGTTAATTCTCGCTCTAATTTGGCTTTCAAGGTGCGATCAACAAGAGTGTCACCTTGCTGTGGATTGTGACCTCTGACTCCACCTCTGTCTTCCTTTTGCAGTCCTACCTTTGCATAGGTAACAAACTTTGTACATGGTTAAAAGGATAAAAGTTCAGTGAAATGTCAAGCCATGCTGTGAAATGTTCCATAGTTTCTATATCTCTAATTGTCCTTTGATGTTATAGAGGCAAGAAAAATAATTCAATGTTTTTCTTAGTATCTAGTCCAATGCACTCTTTCTTCATAATACTGCAAACAAGGCACTGACATGGAAACGTGGCTGGACGTCTCAAAATCTCTTCTCATTAATTACCATTATGTTAATCACTGTTGCCCACAACTGGAATTGGACTTTGAAATCCCCTGGTGGAAATTGCTATAATGGCTCAAACTACTGGAAAGACTATCTTTTTTTACCTGAAAATATCTGATGAGCATAGACGTATGCTATATACAGGAAGATATTGTACATTAACAACATACCATCACTGCCACTCAATAATAGGTATCCCAAACCTTTGAGCCAAACTGAGCTCAGGTGCTCCCACAAACCAAGCTTTTCCCTCCACAGATTTCTTATGTCAAAAAGCCACAACTCCAGGCCAGGCTTCGTGGCTCTTGTTGTAATTTCTACATTTTGGGAGGCCGAGGTTGGTGGGTCACTTGAGGTCAGGAGTTGGAGACCAGCATGGGCAACATGGCAAAAAGCTGTCTCTACCAAAAATACAAAAATTAGCCAGACCTAGTGGCACTTTCCTGTGGTCCCAGCTACTTGGGAGGCTGAGGTAGGAGAACCACCTGAACATGGGTGGCAGAGATTGTATAGTAAGCCAAGATCAGACTACTGCACTCCAGCCTGGATGACACAGCGAGACCATGAAAAAAAAAATAAAGGCAACTCCACTCATCCACTGGCTTAGGTAAAAAATACTGGAGTTGGCTGGGCTCGGTGGCTCACACCTGTATTCCCAGCACTTTGGATTTTGGGAAGCTGAGTCGGGCGGGTCACCTGAGATCTGTAGTAGGAGAGCAGCCTGGCCAACATGGTGAAGCCTGGCTTCTACTAAAAATACAAAACATTAGCTGAGCGTGGTGATGCATGCTTGTAATCCCAGCTACTGCAGAGGCTGAACCTGGGAGGCGGAGGATGTGTTGAGCTGAGATCCTGCCACTGCGCTCCAGCCTGGTCTACAGAGCGAGAGTACCCTGTGAGAAACAAAGGTGAAGAGAACAAGAAAAAAAAATGAGAAAAATAAGACCCACTGCAAAAGGTTGCCACAGAAAAGATTAAACATTTCAGCAACTTCTATCTTCTATCATGGAAGCCAAGGTTATTTGGACCAAACCTCCTGTCTTAGTTCATTTTCACGCTGCTGAAGAAGAGATACCTGAAACTGGGAATAAAAGGAGGTTTAATTGGACTGACAGTTCCACATGGCTGTGGAGGCCTCAGAATCATGGTATACGAATAAAGGCACTTCTTACATGGCAATGCCAAGAGAGAATGAGGAAGAACCTGAGGCAGAAACCCCTGAAAAACCCATCAGATCCCGTGAGACTTCTTCACTGTCACAAGAATAGCATGAGAAAGACCGACCCCCATGATTCAATTACCTCCCCCTGGGTCCCACCCGCAACACGAGGGAATTCTGGGAGATACAATTGAAGCTGAGATTTGAATGGAGACACACCAAACCATGTCACTTCCCAAACAATTAAAAATTCCCAATAGAAGAAGCATTAATTATATCAAAAAGTGGTGGACCAAGAAGGAACTATTAGCCTCATATCTCAAGAAAGACTCCAGTCAAGGCCTAGGGACTACTCATGAAAAGAGTTTAATAGCCGACTCTCTCCCAGTGGATCTGGATTCCACCGGACTGTATCTTCACAGTAAGGGTGAAACAGAAGCAAACCCATTCCTATTTCCAAGCTCAAGGAACTTTGGTCAAAGTTCTCTTGGAGCTGAGCAGAACAAGGAGGCAAACAGAAAAGATTTGTGTCCCTGAGAAGTCATGGCCACAGGCTGGCTATCACACAGATTGTCAAGCCAGTTCCATATTGCATGGGTATTACAGAAAATCTCAAAACATAAATTTGTGTGTGGGTTGTCCCAGAGTAGCAGGATCTGGCAGAAGGAAATTTCCTTCTAACCCTCAAAGAATCCACATAAATCTTGTTACATTTGGGATTTTACGATTTGCTTCAGGAATGAGAATGGCCTTAATTTTCATATCTTTTTCTACACTCAGTTTATGGCTTGTTGGCGTCAAAGTTCTGCTTGCTTCACACAATGAGTTTAGGATTTTCCCTTTTTTATTCTATAGAATTCTTCATATATATTGAAATGCTCTGCCTGGGGAAAAAAATCTGAGCCTAGCGTTTTATCTCTAGGAAGAATCCTTTATTTCCTTGAACATTTATGAGACTATACAGATTATATATGTCTTCTTGTATCAATTTTACTAAGCTATATACATAGCTTATGTTTATATATTATATATATAAATGTAAGATACAAATATAAAAATTATGTATAAATATGAAAATATATATAGAAAGCGATATATATGTCTATATATATAGACAGATTATAAATATCTGTCTATTTGATCTAAGTTTTCAAATTTGTAGGTTAAGGTGTTAATGATATTTCCTTATTAGCTTCTTAATCTATGCTGTATCTATGGTTGTGTACCTTTTAAATTCTTAGTTTTATCTATGTTTTCTCCCTTTTTTTCTAAACTTGACTGACGGTTGCATCATTTATTATATTTCTCCAACAAGCAAAGGTTAGCTTTGTATGTTTTACTAATTTTGTCTACATCATTATTCCCACACTTTAGTTTTTCAGAATTGATTCTGTTGTTTCTTTTCTAATTCTTTATTGAAATATCTAGTACATTAATTTTCAAGTTATTAGAGAAATATTTGTCTGTAAACTCCTATTGTAATATCACTTTTCTTGCTACTCACAGATTTAATCTTTAATATTGGCGGTATCATTGAGTTCTAAGTACATTTCAATTCCTAGTATGATAATCTATGAATTGCTGAGAAATAGTGTTTACAATTTTGTTGTTCTATTTCCACTTAAGTTTATTTTTACTTCTGCTAACTCAATTGAAAATTCTTTACTAATTTTTAAAATCCTTGAACCCAAGAGATGGAGGTTGCAGTGAGCTGAGATCAGGCCACTGCATTCCAGACTGAGTGACAGAGTGGAACGAGATTTCAAAACAAAACAAAACAAAACAAAACAAAACAGTCACTGGAAAGATAATAAAATACATAAATGTGGGATGTAATATGTAATCGTGATAAAATAAACTGGATTTTTTGTATAAGTTATACATATAAATGTAATGCCAAGACACTGATAAGACAACTCATGGTCTTATCTCAATACTTAGTGTCTTCATGTAACATATGTCCTTTAGGATAGTTATAGTCCGTTTTCTTTCCAGGAGAGACAGATGAGAATGCAGAAATGTTAAAGTGCAAGGGACGGAAGCTTCCAGCTGTGCCCACCTGTAACCTGACGTAGACAGTTCCACCGTTTGCTTCATTAATCATGCCAAAGGCTCTAATGCAAATGTGGTACAGAGTCACATGTTTTTGTATCTACATGATAGAAACTATAACTTCATCCCTATATAGAAGGGTATATAGCATATGCCTCAGTGATAAATATAAGTGAATCCTTGATCAGTAGGAAACCATTTTAAAAGTCTTTCATAACAGAACAAAATCCCTGAAAACATTTTCTTCTCAATCTCTGAGTTTTCTTACACGGCTTATGAATCTCTAGCCATACTAAAGAGATAGTATGCTGCTCTTCCCACAAATTATTCATTGTATATAATTCCTGTAATCTAATAACAGTACCTTTACACCTCAGGGTTTAAAATGACTCCAACCTTTTTCTGTTTCTCCAATTAAAATAACTTTTTTAAGGTTTAATCTTCAGTAATTTTTTGTAGTAATATTTTTGAAGGTATTTGACCAGGATGATTTGCTTATATACCTACCTGACGTCTCCCTTTCTTCTGAATACATATTTTATTACCCACCTATTAGATCTAAGTTTAAGAAGTTGGAATAGGGATTTAAATCTAAATTCTACATTTGAATTTACAGGAGTCAGCGAGTCCGGGAAGTGCCTTTATGCACAGACCAATATCTGGCAATGGCACTAGGAGACAAATAAGCTTTACCAGTCTCAAAGCCCTGGCTACTACAGTGAATCCACCCTTCTCCTGGATCTTATCTACTTCAGCAAAAGAAGGCCACCCACTAAACCAGGCCCTTGTACTTTGGGTGGAAACTCCTAAGTCCTCTAGTCTCCTCAAACAGACAGCCAGGCTGCCAATTTCCACAATAATAATTTCTATAGCACTGAGTCTTTGGTAGCCTTGTAACTGTAGCTACTGATGCTACAGTCTGGTCCCTGTATGATAAAACACCAGAGCAACAGAAACAAAAATATTGACTGAAGCCTTCTAAAATCTCTCTAAATATACCTTCAATAAATATGGTTTTTTTTACAGAACGACTGCTTTCAGCTTCCTGAACTAACGCTTGGCCTTCGCTAGTTGTCACTGTTGAAATTGATTCAAAAGTGTACATTTAACATGAAAGTCAACACAGAATTTCATGTGTCAGCAACTAAAATTTTCAAAATGTTGCAAAATACAAATGTGAAACTGTATTTGTGAAATTTACCATTCATTGAAATTATATTTTCATACCTACCCAGGCACAGAATTTTTTATAACTGTCTGCATGTTCTCCTCATGTGGGGGAAAAGCAGCATCAGCAGGCAGAGGAATCCTTTGAAGCTGGAGGGAGAGGTTGCAGTGATCTGAGAGTTTGCCACTTGACTGCAGCCTGGATGACACAGTGAGACTCCAACTGAAAAGAAACAAACACACACCCACACACACACACACACACACACACCCCCAAAATTGATAAGTAAAAAAAAATCCGTATTCGAAAACATGCTCACAGGCTAACTCCCATATCTAACACACACACACACACACACACTCACACACAATTCCTTGAAAACGAAAGTTCCACAAGGGCGAAACAAGAAAACAAATTTAACACCCCCCAAAGAAAGTACAAAGAGTAACCTCAAAAGAACCGCAGGGGAAAACAATTCAAAATTTACAACTATCTACCCTAAAAGAAGCTGAAAGTCCCTCAAAAACTTTCCAGAGGCCATGTCCTTGTATTACAAAAATGATCATAAAAACTGGCAGGAGTAGACGAATAGAAATGCATCTTAAAACTTGCTAAACCCTTCAAGTCTCCCATAAGAATTGTAATGGAAAATGGATCGGTCGGCAGCTTTTTCCATACAATTATGAACAAATTATATTTCTTCATACATAGATTTGTTTTTTCAATATTCTAAGGAATTAACTTTTATATTAATAGTAGGTGATGTAAGAAAGCAGGCCTTTATCAAGATAACTGACACTGGATGTCCATACCATTACTCAGGTGGGCCTTAATTCCCAGCCGGGTTCCCTCCCTGGACACACACTGAAGGTCCCCAGCCATTTGGCAATCTCTTCACATTCCCAGCCCTGGAGGTAGCCCTAAAATACATGTACCTGAAGAAAATAAAACATTGCCTCACACTGGAGCCCAGTGTGGTCCTCCAGATTCCGTGTGAGGTGGACTAACTTATATGGGAAGGCAGGGCAGCGGGAGTGAGGATGGCAGAGAGGATTACACATGTCAAGGCAGCCGGGGTCATGGAAACAAAACATGACTGGCCTGGGAGAAACACTGTGAAAGGACACAGACCTAGGTGGGCCTCAGGTGGACATCCTCGTGGAGAAAAAGGGGGCCCTGGTTGATCTCAAAATGAGCCCCAGGTGGTAGCAGGTCTTACCGCAGGGCAGGGAGCTGGCGAGTAATGATGAGACAGCTATCCCTTAAGCCCTGCTTGTCACCCACTGACTTTAGCCACATATGCATCATAGTGGCTTAAGGTGCCCCGATCCTGAAATGTGGGTGTTACATGTCCCTGATGGGCCTCTCTCCCCCAACCCACGGATTGCCTGGGATTGCTCACTGCAGTCTCCTCCCGGATCCTTGGGTTCTCCATGTGGGGCCCAGATCCAGGTCAAAAGGCCTCTCAGTTCCCAGCCCTTCCCAGCCCTAGGCTGCTCGCCTGGCCTCCTCTCTGTTCCGCCTCTAGGGCTGACCCTCTCTCCATGGGATAGAACTGCAATGGATTGAGCCATAGGCCCTGGCTGATGATCTAGGGGACTGCAGAAGTGGGTCCAGGACAGTTCAGGTGACAGTTCAAAGCCAATTCCCCAGAGACCAAGGAATGACCAGCTAGGTCCTTTCCCATGATGCCCCACGGCGAACCCCACCTCAGCAATCCTGCCAAAACCCGGGCAGTCATGTTCAGCCAAACAGCTGAATGAGCTCAGGTAGGAGGTGTACTGCCTGCAGCTGGAGGCTTGACCTTCGTGATCCCAGAACCGCTGGACTGCAGTGGAATGAGACACCCTGTAGCCTGCAGGGAGAGGAGTCAGGAAGGTTCATGCCAGTCCCACCCTCCCACACACCAGCTCCCCTACCATGCTGGGAGGCATTCCTTACCGAGGATGCCAACACAGTGCTCCTTCATGATGATTTCACTGTGGAAATAAAGGTTGGGATGAAAGGAAATCATCCTGCCACCGGTAACCGGGATGGCTGAGTTCCTCCACCTGCCGGATCAAGGAGAAAGAGGATGGATTCAATGGGACCATCTCAACTAGCCGGGCTGAGGTGGCCTACTAGCTGTAGTGAACCATGAGTTTCCCCTTCCCAGCTCTCCCACTGAGACAACCCTGGTCCCCAGGGGGACCTCAAACTGACTCAGACACTGGACTCCTCCCACAGACCCAGGCTCCCCAGCCTGACCTGCAAATCCATCACGTAGCAAAGCAGGACTTCCGCATGCTTTCCGACCCACGCCGACATCTCGTGTGCCAAACAATCTACCTCTGCGCAAGAACTCTCCAGAGGATTGGGTGGGCAAGCCTCGTGACGCCTTGCAATTTCGCAAGAACACAGACAATGTGGAACAGGGCCATCTCCCAGACATTTGGCCAGTCACCCTTCATTGTTGGCCCTCTATCTCTGTCTGGCGAGGAGGCAACGCCACAACTGTGGTGGTTTTTGGAGTGGGTGGACCCCGGCCAAGACGGCCTGGGCTGACCAGAGACGGGAGGCAGAAAAAGTGGGCAGGTGGTTGCAGCTGAGGGACGGGAGGGGCCGGGGGTGGTGTGAGGCGGCTGCTTCTCTGAGTTTCTGAGATGCAGGAGGCCTTTGTGTGCTGGGTGCTGGACATGCTCCGCTGATGTCCGGGTGTGTGGTGTCCTCTTATCCTAGTCTCCCTGAGGGGTGGGCCTGTCCACCTGAGGGAAGCCTTGTAGTTAGAAGCCACAGCAGGGTCGTGCCTGGCGCTCTCCAAGGGAATTGCGTGGGTCCAGAGGAAGTTATACAGGCTCAGGGCCTACACGCCTTTGAGTGCAGCGCCTGCAGTTGGATGAATGCGCATCTGCGGAGCTGGTGCCCGCCGTCAGGTGGTCGGCAGCCCCATGCGCCGCGAACCCGTCTTAAGCACCTTGCGTTTCTGGGGTGAGCCTGCTGGAAACAGGCACCGAGAGCAGGGGTGGTTCAATGGCTGGTAATGGCATACAGATTCCCCGTCCTCCAGGGACGTTCCCAGGGAAACGCGTCCTTCGAATTTGGGCTGTGCGCAAAGGGACCTTGGCGCCGCGATTCTCCCTTGTCAGTGCTGGCCCTGGCTCCCCTTCCCTACCACGTGCTCCCAGGGCTGCTACAAGCGAGCTGCCCTCACAGCTGCGGGAACGTGGCCTCGGCTCCCACGCTGTCCCCCATCCCCTGCCTCCTGGCTGACCCCACGTGCCTCCCACCTGGCTCCTCCCCGCAAACAGCCCCCATACCCCCCGAGGCCCGATGACTATCCCCTGCTGCCCGCCATCCCAAATCGGCAGCCGCAAGGATATGGCTCTGGCTCACAAGGCGGAGATGCTCTGTGGCCTAGGGCATTCACGGAGCCCAGCTCCAAGTGAAGGACCTCCAGCGAGTCCATTGACGGCCCCGGTGTGCTCGGTCCAGGGCCAGGCTGTGCCCGCTGGCCCTCCTTCTGCCACCCCACGTCGGGCTCCACCTCAACCACCACCTCCACCTCAGCCATGATGTCTTCCACCTTCAGCACCGCCTCCTCTTCCAAGGCCGCCTCCTTGCTCTGTACCCCGGCCGTCCTCTCCAGCATTGCCTCCAGCCTGAACACGGTTTTCTCCTGGGTGCTCCCACAGACCCTGGGCCTGCGCAGCCCAGCCCAGCCCAGCCCATGCCCCGCACCCGTAGGCTCTGGGGGCCCGCTCCCCAGCAGACCCGCTCCCTGCAAGACCCACGGGCGTCGCCCTGCTGTGAACCTGGTCCCACACCTACGTGGACCCAGGTTTCCTGAGGAGCTCCGCTGGACCCGCAGATCCCGCACTGGCCAAAGGGCTCCGGTCCCCAGCAGGCCCAACTGCGCACAGGAGCTCGGGAGCCAGAGGCCCCGGCCCTGGGCTTGCAGAGCCCCACCAACAGGCACCGCAACCGCTGCTGCGGGTGCGGGAGCCTCTGGGTCGTCAAGGCAGCGCACAACAGCGTGCGCGCAGGCCGACAATGGCCAACCCTGGCGGCTGGCCTCTGGTGTGCCCAGGGCATAGGACAAGAGGCCCTTTGGAATGCTCCTTGGAGTACAGCATCCTCAGGGAGGAAGCATGGTACTCGGAGCCTCTATTTGCCTCGACCTGTGAGAGTGTGTGCCGGGGCTCTGGCCTCTACAGCAGATCAATTCCACCTCAGCACCGGCAGGCGACTTTCCTCCCACGTGCCCGCCCCGATCACTTCCCCCAGGACACCCCTGCCGCCCTAGCCCCAGCAACCAGAGAGAGTTCTCTGCATCTGCTGTATTACCTCCGTACCATCTACCTGGCCTGCCTAACGAAGAGAGATGTTTCCTGTGTTCATGACACATAGAGATGTTCATGGCTTGCCACACTGAGGATTTCAGGGCACAGGGCTGCCATGCCCACAATTCCAAAGGCCACGCAGCCCGCGTGTGCCCGGATGCCTAGCTACCCGGCACAAGCTCCAAGGGCTTCTCGGAGGAGGCTTGGGCAGGGAAGGCGGGGGGTGGGGGGGCTGGAGATGCAGGCCCGCCAGTGGCTGTGCCGCCCAGGGAGACGCCCACCGCCCTCCCATTGACTGGCCACGACGGGAGGAAGTCGGCCTGGGTGCGGCCCCCCGGCCCTTCGCGCGCAGTCCCTTAGGGGGCGCCTGGAAGCCCGGCGCATGCGCCCTGAGGGCTCGCTGACCTACCGGGTGCCAGAGAGGCTGCGGCAGGGTTTCTGTGGCGTGGGTCGGGCAGCACAGGCCTTGGTGTGTGCGAGTGCCAAGGAGGGCACCGCCTTCAGGATGGAGGCTGTACAGGAGGGGGCGGCCGGGGTGGAGAGTGAGCAGGCGGCTTTGGGGGAGGAGGCGGTGCTGCTGTTGGATGACATAATGGCGGAGGTGGAGGTGGTGGCGGAGGAGGAGGGCCTCGTGGAGCGGCGGGAGGAGGCCCAGCGGGCACAGCAGGCTGTGCCTGGCCCTGGGCCCATGACCCCAGAGTCTGCACTGGAGGAGCTGCTGGCCGTTCAGGTGGAGCTGGAGCCGGTTAATGCCCAAGCCAGGAAGGCCTTTTCTCGGCAGCGGGAAAAGATGGAGCGGAGGCGCAAGCCCCAGCTAGACCGCAGAGGCGCCGTCATCCAGAGCGTCCCTGGCTTCTGGGCCAATGTTGTATCCTTCTCAGTGTTTCTTCGGCCTTTCTAGTGGAGAGGTGCTCTCGGGGAAGTGTAAGTGACCGATGGGCAGCTCGGCGTCGATGTGACTCTTTGGGGAACAAAGGGGAGTTGCCACGGACCAGTGTGGCTGTGGAAAGCCGGAGCAGGCGTGGGTACTATTGTCCTGCATGCGGCAGAGAAACCCTTGGTGATGCCGAGCAGCAGACGTTTGGGGCATCTTTTTGAAGAGCAGAAGCGAGTTCAGAGCGGAAGAGGTTTTTCAGTGAATGAAGCTATTTTTAAGGGAGTGTGATTGCTGCCCCTTGCTAGTCCGATCTGGGACTGGGCGTCTTCGGCTATAAGCAGATTCTGCCACTCCTCAGACACCAGCAAGTCTCTGCAAATCGCGCCTCCCCATGTCAGTGCAGTCAGCCTCAGAATCATACACCCTCTGTGAACACAGGAGGCCTTAGTTTACGGGGACGGGGAGGCGAAAGGAGATCATACATGGAAGCAGATCTGAGAAATCCCCTACCCCAGCCTCTGGGTGCTCTTAGGCCTTCTTCCCTGTTGCTCCTCGCTTTCCCTTCCATCGTGTGTAAAGTCTCTTTGACCTAAATCAGATTGCAAACCACCCCCAGATGTCAGCCCTGATCACTGACGAAGATGAAGACATGCTGAGCTACATGGTCAGCCTGGAGGTGAGGCCAGGAAGACTGGGGCTAGAGGGTTTAGCGGGGGAGGGTAAGGGAAATAATTCATTCCTGTAAGCAAGAGTGAGCACCTCACCCGAAAACCTATCTAAGCTTTCTCCACCTTGTCCTGACAGGTGGAAGAAGAGAAGCATCCTGTTCATCTCTGCAAGATCATGTTGTTCTTTCGGAGTAACCCCTACTTCCAGAATAAAGTGATTACCAAGGAATATCTGGTGAACATCACAGGTGACAGGTGGCTCCCAGGATGGGTAGTGGAAGGAAGATGGTGGGTGGATCATTGCCAACGGGATCCAGCCCCCTTCCCACAAAAACTCCTGTCTCTGTAGAATACAGGGCTTCTCATTCCACTCCAATTGAGTGGTATCCGGATTATGAAGTGGAGGCCTATCGCCGCAGACACCACAACAGCAGCCTTAACTTCTTCAACTGGTTCTCTGACCACAACTTCGCAGGATCTAACAAGATTGCTGAGGTGAGTCCTCACTGGGAAACATGAGGAATGACCCCGTGTGTTCCCAGCTGCTTGGGTCACCTTTCTGAGCCCTGATGAGGCCTTTCCCGATTGAGTCCCCTGACAGATCCTATGTAAGGACCTGTGGCGCAATCCCCTGCAATACTACAAGAGGATGAAGCCACCTGAAGAGGGAACAGAGACGTCAGGTGAGCCGTTAGTTGGCACTGGAGCTGTTTGATGCCCAGTATAAGGGGGTTGACACACCTGCCTATTCAGGGAGCCTGGGTGCTCATTTCAGAAATGTAGAAATTGAGGCTCCTTTCGTACATGTAGAAATTCCTTGAGAGGAAGACAGAGAGTGACAGAATCCAGGACGTTCATGGCATTGGGCTGAAAAGGCACGTTAGAGACTGCACTGCAAAGCGGGTGATAGCTGTGGAGTCTTAAGCCCAGTGAAGAATCGTCCATTTCCAGAATCAATGAGAAGTAAAGCTGAAAATCATTCAGTTCAGTCTGTGGCACTTGATTCCACGGCTGTCAACCCCACCGGCAGTCATCCCACCAACCCCATGAGATTGGGCTCCCTGAATGTGCGTCCTGGTCATCCTTGCCCCAAACCACAAAGGACTGTTTAGATTGATGGATTTCCTTAAGCTGTTGCCCCATCAGACTTGTGTGTGCTTTTAGGGCCCAGTGCATCTTGTTAGCTGACTCCCCTCACAGACAATACTGGGAATGGGGCAGGGATTGCGCAGAACAGTTTGTAACACGTGGTAGGAGGAAGTTTAAGGGATCACAAATGGGGAAGGGATATCCTTTTCTCAGCGGGCCCCACAATTGAAACATTTCAAAGTATGGCTCAGAGAAAATGCGTTTTAACATGAGTTTGTGTTTCTCTAGGGGACTCCCAGTTGTTGAGTTGAATATGATGGAGCATCAGATTTTACCTAATACAGCAGAACTCCTAAAAAGTTACAGCCATATGCAGGACGGCAGTACTCAGCATGGTCTTATGCACAGGAACTAAAGGAAAAACAGATCGAGTCACAAAAATTCAGGAAGAGGGGGTAAATGTGGATTGTATGGAATGAAAAATAAACATTCTCAAGGATGTGTGACTCTGTGTCTGTGTGTGTGTGTGTGTCTTTGAGTTTGTGTGTGTGTGTGTGTGTGTATGTTTATCCACTTTATTCGGGTGTCATAATGAATTGATCAATCCACGTGCTTTATTCTCTTAATGGAAATAACCAGTCTGCGTTGGAGCTGGGCCTCTAAAGTTGTAGAGTGAATGGGTGTGGGATGTGTTGGGATTCTTCCTACAGGACAGAGTGGGAGAGGTAAAAGCAAAAGACAGCTTAGTTGGAGGCTGACTTCGTCCTGTGGAAGCAGAGATAGTTCAAGGAAAGGGGTTACTGGGTTTCCAGGGCCCAGTTTGCTGGGACCTCCAAAATCCTTCATTTTGGGTATCATCATACACAGTAGCTAAGCACAGGATGATGGAAATCTTAAAGTTCGCTTTCGTGTTGAATCCACATGTTCTTTTAAAGGTGAATGCATGATCCTTTTCTGGGACAATCAGCCTCTCAGGACTTCTGAAACATCAACGTGAGAAGAAATGGGCATGTAAGGTGTATGGAGGGACTGTGGGAAAGGTGACAGAGGCATGTGGGAAGGCATTCAGGATACGCTTTTGGCATAGATGACTAAGGGAAAACAGAAACTTACAGAAGTGAGGGGAAAGGGGGTGGATTAGTGGAATATAAGATTGTTGGAGAATCCATCCATGGACTCTCTTGTCACTTGATGACCCAGGATATGGACACTCTTGTTGATGTTTACATCTTTAGTTGTTTTAAGCTTTTCTCCAAGATTCTGTGTTAGGTGAGGAGCCAATAACGTATGTAGCTAACAACAGTACGAGTGCATTTTGTGCTCTTGCAAAGTCTAGTGAGGCTCTATTCTCCCTCGTGATTGGCACTGCAGATTGTATCTGGAGCCCAGGGCCCCTAAATTTTCTGTGGCCTCTTCAGCATAGTTTGCCTAAGGTTTAGAACGTAAAGCGAATATAGTTGCGGAATATGTTTTGCAAGCCTCACACAGGAGGACAAAACATACAGCTTTCATTCGCGAGTGGGAGGCTGCTTCCCAGGAACACGTGTGTCTGCACAAGACAAGGGGTTGCCTCTGTCAAGGATGGGGCAGGAGGATTTCAGTGTCGGAGGCAGAACTTTCTTTCCTGTTCCCAGATGAAACAGTTCCAACACGAGCATCCATGTTGACCACACGCTACTAGAGTGCTAACATTGCTGTCCCGTATAGACTCTGGTCAGCACAGCTTCTGTGAGAAGAGCTATGTTGTTTCAGGGAAGAGGGTTTGACAGTCAAAGTTCCTGAATCTGTTGTGGTGCCTGCAATATGCATTCTACCCCTCCTGCTCGGTGTCAAAGCAGTTGAGCTTTGAAAATCTATCGCCCGGTTTTGTCCCTGCTCCTATGCAGACCTCTGAAGCTCTGGAGCGGGAGTCTTGTCCTCCTCTGACTACCGTCCCCCTGACCCACAAACACAGGAGAAACAGGTGTTCTAAGCAAATTATTCTGAAAACAGTCGGAACCCTTTGGCCCCCTCAAGCTGCCCTGTATCCTACTGTGTGCATGTCAAAGACACTGTGGTCCAGTACGGTATCCCTATAGCGGCAATGGGGCAACAGATTGGTGTGTGCACTCTGGGCAACTCAGATTAGGAAACGTCTGGGGACTTGCCTATAACGAGGTCGTCTTAAAACGTGTTGCCCCAAATTTAAGGCATAGGAAAATGTTGAGGAAAGGGTCTTGCAATGATTTTTCTAGGAGGTAAATAGATAAGAAAATGACCGTAAATAGATGCCAGGGCTAGTTTTGGAGCTAGCCTGTTTTAAAGTGGTGGTAGGGGAGGAGCTTTTTCCAAGGCAGGTAGCAAACCAGGAACTGTCTACGATGGATGGGCGTGCCACGGGTTGGTGGCTCAGCCATATTGCCACCCCACCGAGTGAATGCAGCAGACTGGGCTTCTTCCTTGAATCCTACGTGCAATTCAGTCTAGTGATTTCACATGAGATCCCTTCTTCTGGTATTATCACAGATCGTGCTGAATTATACAGGCTGTGTAATGCTTCTTCCACTGAATATCCGTGCACGTGGGCCACAGATGCTAAGGGCACTGACAAATTTGCACCGTGCCTCAGTAACTCGGAAGCACATCTGTGATTTGTACCGACAGGGACTTGGTGTCTTTTCGTGTTTAAAGTAGCACGTGTGTGTTTGTGGTTGCGTATGTTTATTTCTCTGTGCGGGTTTGTATATTTTCTCTGACTCCACCTGTGTCTCCGTGGTTCCGATATTTTTCCACACTCCCTGCGACAATTTGCACATGCCTATCTCTACAACCATTGTAGACTTTGTATCTGTGTCTTTGAACATCTGTCACTCTCTCTCCCTTCCTTTTTTCTTTTCCTTCCTTTACACCCCTTTCATCCTTCCCTTGCTTCCCCACCACACTCTCTCCATCTGTATCGTCTATCTTTCTATTCTCTATCTGGGTTTCCTTTCTAATTCTGAATTCAAGGGCATTGAATTGAAAAGAAGCACTCTTCGTACTTTTATGTGTTTTAACTCATTTGGGGAATTTGGCGTGGTATTATTTACAGGGTTCTCTCTGCCCTTTCTCATTGTTCTCCCCAGCCGGGGCTGTTATTATGTGAAAGCTGGTTTCCTTCATCACATCGCGTAGGCTCTAATGATGTTTCGTTTATTTTGATTCTCCTCACACTACATAGTTTTAATTTACCTAATGTGACTGTTTTTTTGTTTGTTTTCCGAGAATGGGTCTTACTCTGTCTTCTAGGTTGGACAGCAGCCCCACGATCTCAGCCCACTGCAGCCCAGGCACCACACACCCATGTGATCCTGTCAACTCAGACTCTCACACACCTGGCAGTACAGGTGCATGCCACCCCTCCAAGCTATGTATTAATTAACTAAATACTTACTTTTTGAATGTGGGTCCATGTTGCCCCAGGCTCATCTGGAACTCCTGAGTGCAGGCAATCCTCCCACCTCAGCTTATCAAAGTGCTGGGATGACAGGTGTGACCCATGGCCCTGCCATGGCTTTGTGTTTTTTGCTTTTTTCTTCCTCCTCCTCACGTCTTGTTTTGAAACATGCACTGAAGGTTTCAATTCATGGACTATAGCCTCTGTGCCTGGAATTTCTATCTTTCAACTCATCATCAGCATTCATTGGGATTTTCATATATATATACACCTATATAAGAATACCTATGTACACACATATATACGTATATACATGTATATACGTATATATGCACATTTATATACGTATATACATGTATATACGTATATATATACATGTACACATATGTATTTATTTCTCAAGTTACGAAACGGCTTGCATTCTTTCCTGTGTCATGAAAAAGACTTTGCTAGAAAAGAAAAGCACTGCTTTATAATAAAATATTTTATTTGCATTTATTTTGTTAAGGCATTTTAAAAATTGTATGTTTGTTTAAAAAATGTCATATGAAATGATACATATTTACAACTTAAGGCGTGATGTTCAACAGGTCATATACATTATGCATTGGATACATCCAGCCAATCAACATATGTGTGACCTCACATAGTTGTCATTTTTGTTGTGAAAAAACTTGACCTGCACTGTATTCGAATATTTTTAGAGAAAGAATATGTTACCACTAGTTATAGTGAGCATGCTGAAGAAAATATTTTTAACCTATTCCTCCTTTATAACTAGAAGTATGAGTTCTTCATCCAGCATCTCGTCAGTGCACCCTCTTCACCGCAGTCATTGGAGTCACTACTTCTGTGAAGTCCGCTTTTTTGATTTCATATAAGAATGAGATCATGTGCTACTTTCCTTTCTGATACCTGGCTTATGTCACTTAACAGAATGGCATGCACACATTCAGCAGATTCCCACACATTCTCACAACTGGCAGGATTTCCTGATTTCTTATTGCAGCGCATATTTCCGTTGCGCATATGCGTTTTTGCCCCATTTTTTAATCCACTTATCAATGGAGGGACTCTCAGGTTGCTTCCGCATTTTGGCTACAGCAAAAATGTAATGAGTGCAGCAATAATTGCATGGGTGCGCGCACCGCTTCAACATACTGATCTGTGTACTGGCGGGCGTGCCCGGGTATTCTGATTTGCTGGATCATATAGTGGGTGGTTCTACTTGTAGATTTCTGAAGGCTGTTTATACTTAAATAAGAGCCATAAAGCTTCTTTAATGCCAGCACTAATTTACATTCTCCCCAAAAGTGAGCAGGGAATTCGTTTTCTCTGCCTCCTCACCAGAGATTAGGGTTTTCTTTTCTTTCTTTTTTTTTTTTTGTTTGTTTGTCTTTCGGATAATATGCATTCTGACTGAAGTGAGAAGAAATCTCATTGTGTTTTTGATTTGCATTTTCGTGATGGATTGGGGATAATGAGGAATTTTTAGTGTGTCTTCTGGGCAACTGTATGTCTCAGTTTCACAAATGAGTCTTCGCAGCCTTCGCCCATTTGTTTTCATGCTATTGAGTTGTTGGGAGTTCCTTATGTACTGTGACTATTCCCCCATGAACAGATGTATGGTGATCCAATCATTGCTCCCATCCTGTAGGATGCCCCTTCTGTATGTTGAGTTTTCTATGGTGTGGTGAAGCACTTTAGTTTGATATGATTCCATTCTCTATTTTTGATGGTGTTTACTGTGTTCTTGCAGTCACTTTGAGACCATCATTGCACACACGGACGCCATGGAGCTTCTTCCTTGTGATCTCTTCTGCTATTTTTATCGTTTCACATCTGACACTGGAGTTTGGTGATAAATAATCCACTTGTAAAATCCTTTGTGTGGCTATTCAGATTTCCCCAACCTAGTTTATAGAAGATACTTGATTTTGCATTGGGCGTTCTTGCTTCTTTGGGAAAAGGCTGTGAGCTGCAAATGCAGTGACTTAGTTCTGGGCTCCTGTTGTTTTTCCTAAGCTCTAGTCTCTGCTTTTCTGCCAGTGCTATTGTATTTTGGTACAAAAAGTTTTGTAGTAGTATATCATGAAGTTAGGTAGTGTGGTGGCTCCAGCTTTGTGCTTTTTACTGGATTGCTCTGGGTTTTCAGGATCTTCTGCCATTTCATAGCAAATTTGGGATTCCCAGATTGTTTTTCTAAGAAGAATGTGTCATTGATATTTTTACAGGGGTTGTATAGAATCTGAGGATGACTCAGGTAGTAGTGATGTCAATGCCGTTTAGACAATGTGCGTGTTTGTGTGCACAAGCTCAGGGCCAAGAGACACTGGGTGTCCTCACCAATACTGAGGTGGGCCTTAATATCCAGCCAGATTGCCTTCTGGAAACACACGGAATGTCCTGTTCTGTTTTGCCATCTCTTCACATTTCCTCCCCTGTGAGCCCTGTGTGGTCCTCCAGATTCCCTGTGCGGTGGCCTGCCTTTTTTGGGGTGGGGAGTTGCTGGGTGAATGAGGATGGCGGAGGGAACCAAGTATGTCAGTGGAGCGTGGTGTCATCCAAACGGTACTTAGCAGGCCTGGGAGAGTCATTCTGGGAGGACGCAGACCTAGAGAGGCCTCAGGTGGGCATCTGTGTGGAGGGTGAGAGATCCCTGGTTGAGCCCAAACTGAACCCCAGGTAGAAGCAAGCCTCAGGACAGGGAAGTAGCTAGCAAGGGATGATGAGGGAGCTATCTCTTGACCCTGGCTTCCCACCCATTGACCTTAGCTACTTGTGCCTATTAAGCAGATTACGGTTCCCCCATCGTGAAATGTGGGTACCACAGTTCCCTGATGGGCATTTCTCCACCAGCCCATGATGGCCTGAGTTTCCTTACTGCAGTCTCCTCCCTGAGCCTTGGCTTCTCTATGTGTGTCCTAACTCCAGGACCCACAGGCCTGTCAACCCCCAGCCCTGGGCTGCTTCCCTGGCCTCTTCTCTGTTCCCTCTCTGAGGGCCTAACTCCCTTGGGTAGTGCTGCAGAATATAGAGCCACAGGCCCTGGCTGATGATCTGGTGGACTGGGCAAATTGGTCGTGACAGGTCAGGTTCTGGTTCAAAGCCAATTCCTCCGATGCCAAGGAATGTCGAAGAAGGTCCTTTGCCATGATGCCCCATAGCTGCCCCACCTCAGCAATCGTGCCGTAACCTGGGCCCTCACAGTCAGACAACCAGCTGAAGAAGCTCAGGCAGTGACCTGCGGGAAACTCGGGCTTTCACCTGCATGACCCTAGAACCACTGGACTGCAGTGGAGCCAGTCGCCCTGTATCCTGGAGGGAGACGAGTCAGGAAGGCGCACGCCAGGCCCAGCTCCCGAGGTACTACCCCCTCTACTCCTCAGGGAGGATGCCAACGCAATACTCCTTAGTCGTCACTTTGTTTCCGAAGTAAATGTTGTGATGAAAGGCAAACTTCTTCCTACCCCTTGTATTCAGGGTGGCCGAGTTCCTCCACCTGCCTGTCCAAGAAGGAGAAACAGGGCTGTGAAGGGGCAATTTCATCTAGGTGGGCTGAGGTGGCATTCTAGCCGGGGTGAAGCATGCGTTTCCCCTTCCCAGCTTTCCCGCTGAGACACACCTGAGCCCCAGAAGGACCTCAACCTGACCAGGACCTTAGCACCCTCCCCCAGACCCAGGCTTTCCATCCTGACCTGCAAATCCAACATGCAGCTTTGAAGGACTTTCTCATGGTTTCTGAGCTCCTTGCTCTCACCAGAAAGAATCAGAACTTTTAAAGTGTTCTTTATGCCAACTTAAATTTTTCATTTTTACTACCTCATGTTTTGGATGAGGCATGTATTTTTAAATTTATTTTCACCCTTATTGTACCTCTATGATAAACTGCTTGCTTACATTCATACCGTAATTATCTCTCAGGTTACTTGTCTGTTCCTAAAGATTCACTGAAACGAAGAATTCTATATATGCTTGTATCTTTCAGCAACCGTATGTCAGATAGCACTGCACATTACTGCAGACATCGCATATACAGGTCCAAAGGTAGAGGAAGAAGAAGAAAGCAAGCGTTAAGCTCTATACATTCCTAAAAGCATATCAGAAACTCACAAATAACAGTGAAATCAAAGAATGATCACAGCCAATTCCATTACATACCTAGACTGAAATACGAAACTTCAAAGAAAAGAAACATTAGAACTTTGGGTTTGTAAAAATTTTCCTATATAGATAAAATTATTGGTAACTGTGTCTCACTAGAAAACGTAAACAAAAGTCCATGTTTTTCATATTTGTAAATATACATAGTTTTATTTCCATCAGTTATGACATGCAAGCAAGTAATAAAGTGAAAGTACAATCAAATGATATATGGAACTTCCTCAGTCTTAAAATATTCCATGGAGACTATCAATTTTATGAAAACTATAAAGAATGCTTCATGAAACTACATTGTACAGTGCCATTTACTATTTTACTGACATTTTAAATAATCAACAATTAAAGGGAATACATCAACATTATTTAATACCAATAACGTTATTTTTCTTGAGTAATCCTGTTGAAATTAAGGATTTTAAATAAAACATTAAAAACAAATTATATTGACTGATTTCAGCTTTGGATGAAATCATACTTGTGTATTTGTAGTAATGCGAAGCATAACTTTCTCCTCACAATTAATCTTTTATAACATCGGTGTTATAGTTTTCTCTGACACCAACATTGTGATATCGCACAGGTTTACTGCATGCATGCATTACATGCCTCCAGAGAGTAGGCTTCAAATATATGGAAAAATTATATTTATGAAAAAATTCTAGGAAAGGGAATGGTGAAATGGAAGAGAATTTCTCACTTGCTAACTGTTGGACATGGATTTGTATATATTTGGATATAGACACATACTGGCACACTGTGAGTTTGCCCATGTATATATACACTTATATGAGAAACCCATAATATATGGGTTGTGTAATCTTTTAATTAATCCATAATTGTATGTGTGTGAAATTAGATAAGCGGTTACCTTTTCTTTACTCAATTTGATGGAAAGCCAAAAAACTCTGTCCACCTTCATTTCAATTAATCCAATACTGTTAACTGCTGGTAGCTTCATTCTCCTTGTTCTCTTACGGCAACCGGAAAGTTAATTCTCGCTCTAATTTGGCTTTCAAGGTGCGATCAACAAGAGTGTCACCTTGCTGTGGATTGTGACCTCTGACTCCACCTCTGTCTTCCTTTTGCAGTCCTACCTTTGCATAGGTAACAAACTTTGTACATGGTTAAAAGGATAAAAGTTCAGTGAAATGTCAAGCCATGCTGTGAAATGTTCCATAGTTTCTATATCTCTAATTGTCCTTTGATGTTATAGAGGCAAGAAAAATAATTCAATGTTTTTCTTAGTATCTAGTCCAATGCACTCTTTCTTCATAATACTGCAAACAAGGCACTGACATGGAAACGTGGCTGGACGTCTCAAAATCTCTTCTCATTAATTACCATTATGTTAATCACTGTTGCCCACAACTGGAATTGGACTTTGAAATCCCCTGGTGGAAATTGCTATAATGGCTCAAACTACTGGAAAGACTATCTTTTTTTACCTGAAAATATCTGATGAGCATAGACGTATGCTATATACAGGAAGATATTGTACATTAACAACATACCATCACTGCCACTCAATAATAGGTATCCCAAACCTTTGAGCCAAACTGAGCTCAGGTGCTCCCACAAACCAAGCTTTTCCCTCCACAGATTTCTTATGTCAAAAAGCCACAACTCCAGGCCAGGCTTCGTGGCTCTTGTTGTAATTTCTACATTTTGGGAGGCCGAGGTTGGTGGGTCACTTGAGGTCAGGAGTTGGAGACCAGCATGGGCAACATGGCAAAAAGCTGTCTCTACCAAAAATACAAAAATTAGCCAGACCTAGTGGCACTTTCCTGTGGTCCCAGCTACTTGGGAGGCTGAGGTAGGAGAACCACCTGAACATGGGTGGCAGAGATTGTATAGTAAGCCGAGATCAGACTACTGCACTCCAGCCTGGATGACACAGCGAGACCATGAAAAAAAAAATAAAGGCAACTCCACTCGTCCACTGGCTTAGGTAAAAAGTACTGGAGTTGGCTGGGCTCGGTGGCTCACACCTGTATTCCCAGCACTTTGGATTTTGGGAAGCTGAGTCGGGCGGGTCACCTGAGATCTGTAGTAGGAGAGCAGCCTGGCCAACATGGTGAAGCCTGGCTTCTACTAAAAATACAAAACATTAGCTGAGCGTGGTGATGCATGCTTGTAATCCCAGCTACTGCAGAGGCTGAACCTGGGAGGCGGAGGATGTGTTGAGCTGAGATCCTGCCACTGCGCTCCAGCCTGGTCTACAGAGCGAGAGTACCCTGTGAGAAACAAAGGTGAAGAGAACAAGAAAAAAAAAATGAGAAAAATAAGACCCACTGCAAAAGGTTGCCACAGAAAAGATTAAACATTTCAGCAACTTCTATCTTCTATCATGGAAGCCAAGGTTATTTGGACCAAACCTCCTGTCTTAGTTCATTTTCACGCTGCTGAAGAAGAGATACCTGAAACTGGGAATAAAAGGAGGTTTAATTGGACTGACAGTTCCACATGGCTGTGGAGGCCTCAGAATCATGGTATACGAATAAAGGCACTTCTTACATGGCAATGCCAAGAGAGAATGAGGAAGAACCTGAGGCAGAAACCCCTGAAAAACCCATCAGATCCCGTGAGACTTCTTCACTGTCACAAGAATAGCATGAGAAAGACCGACCCCCATGATTCAATTACCTCCCCCTGGGTCCCACCCGCAACACGAGGGAATTCTGGGAGATACAATTGAAGCTGAGATTTGAATGGAGACACACCAAACCATGTCACTTCCCAAACAATTAAAAATTCCCAATAGAAGAAGCATTAATTATATCAAAAAGTGGTGGACCAAGAAGGAACTATTAGCCTCATATCTCAAGAAAGACTCCAGTCAAGGCCTAGGGACTACTCATGAAAAGAGTTTAATAGCCGACTCTCTCCCAGTGGATCTGGATTCCACCGGACTGTATCTTCACAGTAAGGGTGAAACAGAAGCAAACCCATTCCTATTTCCAAGCTCAAGGAACTTTGGTCAAAGTTCTCTTGGAGCTGAGCAGAACAAGGAGGCAAACAGAAAAGATTTGTGTCCCTGAGAAGTCATGGCCACAGGCTGGCTATCACACAGATTGTCAAGCCAGTTCCATATTGCATGGGTATTACAGAAAATCTCAAAACATAAATTTGTGTGTGGGTTGTCCCAGAGTAGCAGGATCTGGCAGAAGGAAATTTCCTTCTAACCCTCAAAGAATCCACATAAATCTTGTTACATTTGGGATTTTACGATTTGCTTCAGGAATGAGAATGGCCTTAATTTTCATATCTTTTTCTACACTCAGTTTATGTCTTGTTGGCGTCAAAGTTCTGCTTGCTTCACACAATGAGTTTAGGATTTTCCCTTTTTTATTCTATAGAATTCTTCATATATATTGAAATGCTCTGCCTGGGGAAAAAAATCTGAGCCTAGCGTTTTATCTCTAGGAAGAATCCTTTATTTCCTTGGACATTTATGAGACTATACAGATTATATATGTCTTCTTGTATCAATTTTACTAAGCTATATACATAGCTTATGTTTATATATTATATATATAAATGTAAGATACAAATATAAAAATTATGTATAAATATGAAAATATATATAGAAAGCGATATATATGTCTATATATAGAGACAGATTATAAATATCTGTCTATTTGATCTAAGTTTTCAAATTTGTAGGTTAAGGTGTTAATGATATTTCCTTATTAGCTTCTTAATCTATGCTGTATCTATGGTTGTGTACCTTTTAAATTCTTAGTTTTATCTATGTTTTCTCCCTTTTTTTCTAAACTTGACTGACGGTTGCATCATTTATTATATTTCTCCAACAAGCAAAGGTTAGCTTTGTATGTTTTACTAATTTTGTCTACATCATTATTCCCACACTTTAGTTTTTCAGAATTGATTCTGTTGTTTCTTTTCTAATTCTTTATTGAAATATCTAGTACATTAATTTTCAAGTTATTAGAGAAATATTTGTCTGTAAACTCCTATTGTAATATCACTTTTCTTGCTACTCACAGATTTAATCTTTAATATTGGCGGTATCATTGAGTTCTAAGTACATTTCAATTCCTAGTATGATAATCTATGAATTGCTGAGAAATAGTGTTTACAATTTTGTTGTTCTATTTCCACTTAAGTTTATTTTTACTTCTGCTAACTCAATTGAAAATTCTTTACTAATTTTTAAAATCCTTGAACCCAAGAGATGGAGGTTGCAGTGAGCTGAGATCAGGCCACTGCATTCCAGACTGAGTGACAGAGTGGAACGAGATTTCAAAACAAAACAAAACAAAACAAAACAAAACAGTCACTGGAAAGATAATAAAATACATAAATGTGGGATGTAATATGTAATCGTGATAAAATAAACTGGATTTTTTGTATAAGTTATACATATAAATGTAATGCCAAGACACTGATAAGACAACTCATGGTCTTATCTCAATACTTAGTGTCTTCATGTAACATATGTCCTTTAGGATAGTTATAGTCCGTTTTCTTTCCAGGAGAGACAGATGAGAATGCAGAAATGTTAAAGTGCAAGGGACGGAAGCTTCCAGCTGTGCCCACCTGTAACCTGACGTAGACAGTTCCACCGTTTGCTTCATTAATCATGCCAAAGGCTCTAATGCAAATGTGGTACAGAGTCACATGTTTTTGTATCTACATGATAGAAACTATAACTTCATCCCTATATAGAAGGGTATATAGCATATGCCTCAGTGATAAATATAAGTGAATCATTGATCAGTAGGAAACCATTTTAAAAGTCTTTCATAACAGAACAAAATCCCTGAAAACATTTTCTTCTCAATCTCTGAGTTTTCTTACACGGCTTATGAATCTCTAGCCATACTAAAGAGATAGTATGCTGCTCTTCCCACAAATTATTCATTGTATATAATTCCTGTAATCTAATAACAGTACCTTTACACCTCAGGGTTTAAAATGACTCCAACCTTTTTCTGTTTCTCCAATTAAAATAACTTTTTTAAGGTTTAATCTTCAGTAATTTTTTGTAGTAATATTTTTGAAGGTATTTGACCAGGATGATTTGCTTATATACCTACCTGACGTCTCCCTTTCTTCTGAATACATATTTTATTACCCACCTATTAGATCTAAGTTTAAGAAGTTGGAATAGGGATTTAAATCTAAATTCTACATTTGAATTTACAGGAGTCAGCGAGTCCGGGAAGTGCCTTTATGCACAGACCAATATCTGGCAATGGCACTAGGAGACAAATAAGCTTTACCAGTCTCAAAGCCCTGGCTACTACAGTGAATCCACCCTTCTCCTGGATCTTATCTACTTCAGCAAAAGAAGGCCACCCACTAAACCAGGCCCTTGTACTTTGGGTGGAAACTCCTAAGTCCTCTAGTCTCCTCAAACAGACAGCCAGGCTGCCAATTTCCACAATAATAATTTCTATAGCACTGAGTCTTTGGTAGCCTTGTAACTGTAGCTACTGATGCTACAGTCTGGTCCCTGTATGATAAAACACCAGAGCAACAGAAACAAAAATATTGACTGAAGCCTTCTAAAATCTCTCTAAATATACCTTCAATAAATATGGTTTTTTTTACAGAACGACTGCTTTCAGCTTCCTGAACGAACGCTTGGCCTTCGCTAGTTGTCACTGTTGAAATTGATTCAAAAGTGTACATTTAACATGAAAGTCAACACAGAATTTCATGTGTCAGCAACTAAAATTTTCAAAATGTTGCAAAATACAAATGTGAAACTGTATTTGTGAAATTTACCATTCATTGAAATTATATTTTCATACCTACCCAGGCACAGAATTTTTTATAACTGTCTGCATGTTCTCCTCATGTGGGGGAAAAACAGCATCAGCAGGCAGAGGAATCCTTTGAAGCTGGAGGGAGAGGTTGCAGTGATCTGAGAGTTTGCCACTTGACTGCAGCCTGGAAGACACAGTGAGACTCCAACTGAAAAGAAACAAACACACACCCACACACACACACACACACACACCCCCAAAATTGATAAGTAAAAAAAAATCCGTATTCGAAAACATGCTCACAGGCTAACTCCCATATCTAACACACACACACACACACACACTCACACACAATTCCTTGAAAACGAAAGTTCCACAAGGGCGAAACAAGAAAACAAATTTAACACCCCCCAAAGAAAGTACAAAGAGTAACCTCAAAAGAACCGCAGGGGAAAACAATTCAAAATTTACAACTATCTACCCTAAAAGAAGCTGAAAGTCCCTCAAAAACTTTCCAGAGGCCATGTCCTTGTATTACAAAAATGATCATAAAAACTGGCAGGAGTAGACGAATAGAAATGCATCTTAAAACTTGCTAAACCCTTCAAGTCTCCCATAAGAATTGTAATGGAAAATGGATCGGTCGGCAGCTTTTTCCATACAATTATGAACAAATTATATTTCTTCATACATAGATTTGTTTTTTCAATATTCTAAGGAATTAACTTTTATATTAATAGTAGGTGATGTAAGAAAGCAGGCCTTTATCAAGATAACTGACACTGGATGTCCATACCATTACTCAGGTGGGCCTTAATTCCCAGCCGGGTTCCCTCCCTGGACACACACTGAAGGTCCCCAGCCATTTGGCAATCTCTTCACATTCCCAGCCCTGGAGGTAGCCCTAAAATACATGTACCTGAAGAAAATAAAACATTGCCTCACACTGGAGCCCAGTGTGGTCCTCCAGATTCCGTGTGAGGTGGACTAACTTATATGGGAAGGCAGGGCAGCGGGAGTGAGGATGGCAGAGAGGATTACACATGTCAAGGCAGCCGGGGTCATGGAAACAAAACATGACTGGCCTGGGAGAAACACTGTGAAAGGACACAGACCTAGGTGGGCCTCAGGTGGACATCCTCGTGGAGAAAAAGGGGGCCCTGGTTGATCTCAAAATGAGCCCCAGGTGGTAGCAGGTCTTACCGCAGGGCAGGGAGCTGGCGAGTAATGATGAGACAGCTATCCCTTAAGCCCTGCTTGTCACCCACTGACTTTAGCCACATATGCATCATAGTGGCTTAAGGTGCCCCGATCCTGAAATGTGGGTGTTACATGTCCCTGATGGGCCTCTCTCCCCCAACCCACGGATTGCCTGGGATTGCTCACTGCAGTCTCCTCCCGGATCCTTGGGTTCTCCATGTGGGGCCCAGATCCAGGTCAAAAGGCCTCTCAGTTCCCAGCCCTTCCCAGCCCTAGGCTGCTCGCCTGGCCTCCTCTCTGTTCCGCCTCTAGGGCTGACCCTCTCTCCATGGGATAGAACTGCAATGGATTGAGCCATAGGCCCTGGCTGATGATCTAGGGGACTGCAGAAGTGGGTCCAGGACAGTTCAGGTGACAGTTCAAAGCCAATTCCCCAGAGACCAAGGAATGACCAGCTAGGTCCTTTCCCATGATGCCCCACGGCGAACCCCACCTCAGCAATCCTGCCAAAACCCGGGCAGTCATGTTCAGCCAAACAGCTGAATGAGCTCAGGTAGGAGGTGTACTGCCTGCAGCTGGAGGCTTGACCTTCGTGATCCCAGAACCGCTGGACTGCAGTGGAATGAGACACCCTGTAGCCTGCAGGGAGAGGAGTCAGGAAGGTTCATGCCAGTCCCACCCTCCCACACACCAGCTCCCCTACCATGCTGGGAGGCATTCCTTACCGAGGATGCCAACACAGTGCTCCTTCATGATGATTTCACTGTGGAAATAAAGGTTGGGATGAAAGGAAATCATCCTGCCACCGGTAACCGGGATGGCTGAGTTCCTCCACCTGCCGGATCAAGGAGAAAGAGGATGGATTCAATGGGACCATCTCAACTAGCCGGGCTGAGGTGGCCTACTAGCTGTAGTGAACCATGAGTTTCCCCTTCCCAGCTCTCCCACTGAGACAACCCTGGTCCCCAGGGGGACCTCAAACTGACTCAGACACTGGACTCCTCCCACAGACCCAGGCTCCCCAGCCTGACCTGCAAATCCATCACGTAGCAAAGCAGGACTTCCGCATGCTTTCCGACCCACGCCGACATCTCGTGTGCCAAACAATCTACCTCTGCGCAAGAACTCTCCAGAGGATTGGGTGGGCAAGCCTCGTGACGCCTTGCAATTTCGCAAGAACACAGACAATGTGGAACAGGGCCATCTCCCAGACATTTGGCCAGTCACCCTTCATTGTTGGCCCTCTATCTCTGTCTGGCGAGGAGGCAACGCCACAACTGTGGTGGTTTTTGGAGTGGGTGGACCCCGGCCAAGACGGCCTGGGCTGACCAGAGACGGGAGGCAGAAAAAGTGGGCAGGTGGTTGCAGCTGAGGGACGGGAGGGGCCGGGGGTGGTGTGAGGCGGCTGCTTCTCTGAGTTTCTGAGATGCAGGAGGCCTTTGTGTGCTGGGTGCTGGACATGCTCCGCTGATGTCCGGGTGTGTGGTGTCCTCTTATCCTAGTCTCCCTGAGGGGTGGGCCTGTCCACCTGAGGGAAGCCTTGTAGTTAGAAGCCACAGCAGGGTCGTGCCTGGCGCTCTCCAAGGGAATTGCGTGGGTCCAGAGGAAGTTATACAGGCTCAGGGCCTACACGCCTTTGAGTGCAGCGCCTGCAGTTGGATGAATGCGCATCTGCGGAGCTGGTGCCCGCCGTCAGGTGGTCGGCAGCCCCATGCGCCGCGAACCCGTCTTAAGCACCTTGCGTTTCTGGGGTGAGCCTGCTGGAAACAGGCACCGAGAGCAGGGGTGGTTCAATGGCTGGTAATGGCATACAGATTCCCCGTCCTCCAGGGACGTTCCCAGGGAAACGCGTCCTTCGAATTTGGGCTGTGCGCAAAGGGACCTTGGCGCCGCGATTCTCCCTTGTCAGTGCTGGCCCTGGCTCCCCTTCCCTACCACGTGCTCCCAGGGCTGCTACAAGCGAGCTGCCCTCACAGCTGCGGGAACGTGGCCTCGGCTCCCACGCTGTCCCCCATCCCCTGCCTCCTGGCTGACCCCACGTGCCTCCCACCTGGCTCCTCCCCCCAAACAGCCCCCATACCCCCCGAGGCCCGATGACTATCCCCTGCTGCCCGCCATCCCAAATCGGCAGCCGCAAGGATATGGCTCTGGCTCACAAGGCGGAGATGCTCTGTGGCCTGGGGCATTCACGGAGCCCAGCTCCAAGTGAAGGACCTCCAGCGAGTCCATTGACGGCCCCGGTGTGCTCGGTCCAGGGCCAGGCTGTGCCCGCTGGCCCTCCTTCTGCCACCCCACGTCGGGCTCCACCTCAACCACCACCTCCACCTCAGCCATGATGTCTTCCACCTTCAGCACCGCCTCCTCTTCCAAGGCCGCCTCCTTGCTCTGTACCCCGGCCGTCCTCTCCAGCATTGCCTCCAGCCTGAACACGGTTTTCTCCTGGGTGCTCCCACAGACCCTGGGCCTGCGCAGCCCAGCCCAGCCCAGCCCATGCCCCGCACCCGTAGGCTCTGGGGGCCCGCTCCCCAGCAGACCCGCTCCCTGCAAGACCCACGGGCGTCGCCCTGCTGTGAACCTGGTCCCACACCTACGTGGACCCAGGTTTCCTGAGGAGCTCCGCTGGACCCGCAGATCCCGCACTGGCCAAAGGGCTCCGGTCCCCAGCAGGCTCAACTGCGCACAGGAGCTCGGGAGCCAGAGGCCCCGGCCCTGGGCTTGCAGAGCCCCACCAACAGGCACCGCAACCGCTGCTGCGGGTGCGGGAGCCTCTGGGTCGTCAAGGCAGCGCACAACAGCGTGCGCGCAGGCCGACAATGGCCAACCCTGGCGGCTGGCCTCTGGTGTGCCCAGGGCATAGGGCAAGAGGCCCTTTGGAATGCTCCTTGGAGTACAGCATCCTCAGGGAGGAAGCATGGTACTCGGAGCCTCTATTTGCCTCGACCTGTGAGAGTGTGTGCCGGGGCTCTGGCCTCTACAGCAGATCAATTCCACCTCAGCACCGGCAGGCGACTTTCCTCCCACGTGCCCGCCCCGATCACTTCCCCCAGGACACCCCTGCCGCCCTAGCCCCAGCAACCAGAGAGAGTTCTCTGCATCTGCTGTATTACCTCCGTACCATCTACCTGGCCTGCCTAACGAAGAGAGATGTTTCCTGTGTTCATGACACATAGAGATGTTCATGGCTTGCCACACTGAGGATTTCAGGGCACAGGGCTGCCATGCCCACAATTCCAAAGGCCACGCAGCCCGCGTGTGCCCGGATGCCTAGCTACCCGGCACAAGCTCCAAGGGCTTCTCGGAGGAGGCTTGGGCAGGGAAGGCGGGGGGTGGGGGGGCTGGAGATGCAGGCCCGCCAGTGGCTGTGCCGCCCAGGGAGACGCCCACCGCCCTCCCATTGACTGGCCACGACGGGAGGAAGTCGGCCTGGGTGCGGCCCCCCGGCCCTTCGCGCGCAGTCCCTTAGGGGGCGCCTGGAAGCCCGGCGCATGCGCCCTGAGGGCTCGCTGACCTACCGGGTGCCAGAGAGGCTGCGGCAGGGTTTCTGTGGCGTGGGTCGGGCAGCACAGGCCTTGGTGTGTGCGAGTGCCAAGGAGGGCACCGCCTTCAGGATGGAGGCTGTACAGGAGGGGGCGGCCGGGGTGGAGAGTGAGCAGGCGGCTTTGGGGGAGGAGGCGGTGCTGCTGTTGGATGACATAATGGCGGAGGTGGAGGTGGTGGCGGAGGTGGAGGTGGTGGCGGAGGAGGAGGGCCTCGTGGAGCGGCGGGAGGAGGCCCAGCGGGCACAGCAGGCTGTGCCTGGCCCTGGGCCCATGACCCCAGAGTCTGCACTGGAGGAGCTGCTGGCCGTTCAGGTGGAGCTGGAGCCGGTTAATGCCCAAGCCAGGAAGGCCTTTTCTCGGCAGCGGGAAAAGATGGAGCGGAGGCGCAAGCCCCAGCTAGACCGCAGAGGCGCCGTCATCCAGAGCGTCCCTGGCTTCTGGGCCAATGTTGTATCCTTCTCAGTGTTTCTTCGGCCTTTCTAGTGGAGAGGTGCTCTCGGGGAAGTGTAAGTGACCGATGGGCAGCTCGGCGTCGATGTGACTCTTTGGGGAACAAAGGGGAGTTGCCACGGACCAGTGTGGCTGTGGAAAGCCGGAGCAGGCGTGGGTACTATTGTCCTGCATGCGGCAGAGAAACCCTTGGTGATGCCGAGCAGCAGACGTTTGGGGCATCTTTTTGAAGAGCAGAAGCGAGTTCAGAGCGGAAGAGGTTTTTCAGTGAATGAAGCTATTTTTAAGGGAGTGTGATTGCTGCCCCTTGCTAGTCCGATCTGGGACTGGGCGTCTTCGGCTATAAGCAGATTCTGCCACTCCTCAGACACCAGCAAGTCTCTGCAAATCGCGCCTCCCCATGTCAGTGCAGTCAGCCTCAGAATCATACACCCTCTGTGAACACAGGAGGCCTTAGTTTACGGGGACGGGGAGGCGAAAGGAGATCATACATGGAAGCAGATCTGAGAAATCCCCTACCCCAGCCTCTGGGTGCTCTTAGGCCTTCTTCCCTGTTGCTCCTCGCTTTCCCTTCCATCGTGTGTAAAGTCTCTTTGACCTAAATCAGATTGCAAACCACCCCCAGATGTCAGCCCTGATCACTGACGAAGATGAAGACATGCTGAGCTACATGGTCAGCCTGGAGGTGAGGCCAGGAAGACTGGGGCTAGAGGGTTTAGCGGGGGAGGGTAAGGGAAATAATTCATTCCTGTAAGCAAGAGTGAGCACCTCACCCGAAAACCTATCTAAGCTTTCTCCACCTTGTCCTGACAGGTGGAAGAAGAGAAGCATCCTGTTCATCTCTGCAAGATCATGTTGTTCTTTCGGAGTAACCCCTACTTCCAGAATAAAGTGATTACCAAGGAATATCTGGTGAACATCACAGGTGACAGGTGGCTCCCAGGATGGGTAGTGGAAGGAAGATGGTGGGTGGATCATTGCCAACGGGATCCAGCCCCCTTCCCACAAAAACTCCTGTCTCTGTAGAATACAGGGCTTCTCATTCCACTCCAATTGAGTGGTATCCGGATTATGAAGTGGAGGCCTATCGCCGCAGACACCACAACAGCAGCCTTAACTTCTTCAACTGGTTCTCTGACCACAACTTCGCAGGATCTAACAAGATTGCTGAGGTGAGTCCTCACTGGGAAACATGAGGAATGACCCCGTGTGTTCCCAGCTGCTTGGGTCACCTTTCTGAGCCCTGATGAGGCCTTTCCCGATTGAGTCCCCTGACAGATCCTATGTAAGGACCTGTGGCGCAATCCCCTGCAATACTACAAGAGGATGAAGCCACCTGAAGAGGGAACAGAGACGTCAGGTGAGCCGTTAGTTGGCACTGGAGCTGTTTGATGCCCAGTATAAGGGGGTTGACACACCTGCCTATTCAGGGAGCCTGGGTGCTCATTTCAGAAATGTAGAAATTGAGGCTCCTTTCGTACATGTAGAAATTCCTTGAGAGGAAGACAGAGAGTGACAGAATCCAGGACGTTCATGGCATTGGGCTGAAAAGGCACGTTAGAGACTGCACTGCAAAGCGGGTGATAGCTGTGGAGTCTTAAGCCCAGTGAAGAATCGTCCATTTCCAGAATCAATGAGAAGTAAAGCTGAAAATCATTCAGTTCAGTCTGTGGCACTTGATTCCACGGCTGTCAACCCCACCGGCAGTCATCCCGCCAACCCCATGAGATTGGGCTCCCTGAATGTGCGTCCTGGTCATCCTTGCCCCAAACCACAAAGGACTGTTTAGATTGATGGATTTCCTTAAGCTGTTGCCCCATCAGACTTGTGTGTGCTTTTAGGGCCCAGTGCATCTTGTTAGCTGACTCCCCTCACAGACAATACTGGGAATGGGGCAGGGATTGCGCAGAACAGTTTGTAACACGTGGTAGGAGGAAGTTTAAGGGATCACAAATGGGGAAGGGATATCCTTTTCTCAGCGGGCCCCACAATTGAAACATTTCAAAGTATGGCTCAGAGAAAATGCGTTTTAACATGAGTTTGTGTTTCTCTAGGGGACTCCCAGTTGTTGAGTTGAATATGATGGAGCATCAGATTTTACCTAATACAGCAGAACTCCTAAAAAGTTACAGCCATATGCAGGACGGCAGTACTCAGCATGGTCTTATGCACAGGAACTAAAGGAAAAACAGATCGAGTCACAAAAATTCAGGAAGAGGGGGTAAATGTGGATTGTATGGAATGAAAAATAAACATTCTCAAGGATGTGTGACTCTGTGTCTGTGTGTGTGTGTGTGTCTTTGTGTTTGTGTGTGTGTGTGTGTGTATGTTTATCCACTTTATTCGGGTGTCATAATGAATTGATCAATCCACGTGCTTTATTCTCTTCATGGAAATAACCAGTCTGCGTTGGAGCTGGGCCTCTAAAGTTGTAGAGTGAATGGGTGTGGGATGTGTTGGGATTCTTCCTACAGGACAGAGTGGGAGAGGTAAAAGCAAAAGACAGCTTAGTTGGAGGCTGACTTCGTCCTGTGGAAGCAGAGATAGTTCAAGGAAAGGGGTTACTGGGTTTCCAGGGCCCAGTTTGCTGGGACCTCCAAAATCCTTCATTTTGGGTATCATCATACACAGTAGCTAAGCACAGGATGATGGAAATCTTAAAGTTCGCTTTCGTGTTGAATCCACATGTTCTTTTAAAGGTGAATGCATGATCCTTTTCTGGGACAATCAGCCTCTCAGGACTTCTGAAACATCAACGTGAGAAGAAATGGGCATGTAAGGTGTATGGAGGGACTGTGGGAAAGGTGACAGAGGCATGTGGGAAGGCATTCAGGATACGCTTTTGGCATAGATGACTAAGGGAAAACAGAAACTTACAGAAGTGAGGGGAAAGGGGGTGGATTAGTGGAATATAAGATTGTTGGAGAATCCATCCATGGACTCTCTTGTCACTTGATGACCCAGGATATGGACACTCTTGTTGATGTTTACATCTTTAGTTGTTTTAAGCTTTTCTCCAAGATTCTGTGTTAGGTGAGGAGCCAATAACGTATGTAGCTAACAACAGTACGAGTGCATTTTGTGCTCTTGCAAAGTCTAGTGAGGCTCTATTCTCCCTCGTGATTGGCACTGCAGATTGTATCTGGAGCCCAGGGCCCCTAAATTTTCTGTGGCCTCTTCAGCATAGTTTGCCTAAGGTTTAGAACGTAAAGCGAATATAGTTGCGGAATATGTTTTGCAAGCCTCACACAGGAGGACAAAACATACAGCTTTCATTCGCGAGTGGGAGGCTGCTTCCCAGGAACACGTGTGTCTGCACAAGACAAGGGGTTGCCTCTGTCAAGGATGGGGCAGGAGGATTTCAGTGTCGGAGGCAGAACTTTCTTTCCTGTTCCCAGATGAAACAGTTCCAACACGAGCATCCATGTTGACCACACGCTACTAGAGTGCTAACATTGCTGTCCCGTATAGACTCTGGTCAGCACAGCTTCTGTGAGAAGAGCTATGTTGTTTCAGGGAAGAGGGTTTGACAGTCAAAGTTCCTGAATCTGTTGTGGTGCCTGCAATATGCATTCTACACCTCCTGCTCGGTGTCAAAGCAGTTGAGCTTTGAAAATCTATCGCCCGGTTTTGTCCCTGCTCCTATGCAGACCTCTGAAGCTCTGGAGCGGGAGTCTTGTCCTCCTCTGACTACCGTCCCCCTGACCCACAAACACAGGAGAAACAGGTGTTCTAAGCAAATTATTCTGAAAACAGTCGGAACACTTTGGCCCCCTCAAGCTGCCCTCTATCCTACTGTGTGCATGTCAAAGACACTGTGGTCCAGTACGGTATCCCTATAGCGGCAATGGGGCAACAGATTGGTGTGTGCACTCTGGGCAACTCAGATTAGGAAACGTCTGGGGACTTGCCTATAACGAGGTCGTCTTAAAACGTGTTGCCCCAAATTTAAGGCATAGGAAAATGTTGAGGAAAGGGTCTTGCAATGATTTTTCTAGGAGGTAAATAGATAAGAAAATGACCGTAAATAGATGCCAGGGCTAGTTTTGGAGCTAGCCTGTTTTAAAGTGGTGGTAGGGGAGGAGCTTTTTCCAAGGCAGGTAGCAAACCAGGAACTGTCTACGATGGATGGGTGTGCCACGGGTTGGTGGCTCAGCCATATTGCCACCCCACCGAGTGAATGCAGCAGACTGGGCTTCTTCCTTGAATCCTACGTGCAATTCAGTCTAGTGATTTCACATGAGATCCCTTCTTCTGGTATTATCACAGATCGTGCTGAATTATACAGGCTGTGTAATGCTTCTTCCACTGAATATCCGTGCACGTGGGCCACAGATGCTAAGGGCACTGACAAATTTGCACCGTGCCTCAGTAACTCGGAAGCACATCTGTGATTTGTACCGACAGGGACTTGGTGTCTTTTCGTGTTTAAAGTAGCACGTGTGTGTTTGTGGTTGCGTATGTTTATTTCTCTGTGCGGGTTTGTATATTTTCTCTGACTCCACCTGTGTCTCCGTGGTTCCGATATTTTTCCACACTCCCTGCGACAATTTGCACATGCCTATCTCTACAACCATTGTAGACTTTGTATCTGTGTCTTTGAACATCTGTCACTCTCTCTCCCTTCCTTTTTTCTTTTCCTTCCTTTACACCCCTTTCATCCTTCCCTTGCTTCCCCACCACACTCTCTCCATCTGTATCGTCTATCTTTCTATTCTCTATCTGGGTTTACTTTCTAATTCTGAATTCAAGGGCATTGAATTGAAAAGAAGCACTCTTCGTACTTTTATGTGTTTTAACTCATTTGGGGAATTTGGCGTGGTATTATTTACAGGGTTCTCTCTGCCCTTTCTCATTGTTCTCCCCAGCCGGGGCTGTTATTATGTGAAAGCTGGTTTCCTTCATCACATCGCGTAGGCTCTAATGATGTTTCGTTTATTTTGATTCTCCTCACACTACATAGTTTTAATTTACCTAATGTGACTGTTTTTTTGTTTGTTTTCCGAGAATGGGTCTTACTCTGTCTTCTAGGTTGGACAGCAGCCCCACGATCTCAGCCCACTGCAGCCCAGGCACCACACACCCATGTGATCCTGTCAACTCAGACTCTCACACACCTGGCAGTACAGGTGCATGCCACCCCTCCAAGCTATGTATTAATTAACTAAATACTTACTTTTTGAATGTGGGTCCATGTTGCCCCAGGCTCATCTGGAACTCCTGAGTGCAGGCAATCCTCCCACCTCAGCTTATCAAAGTGCTGGGATGACAGGTGTGACCCATGGCCCTGCCATGGCTTTGTGTTTTTTGCTTTTTTCTTCCTCCTCCTCACGTCTTGTTTTGAAACATGCACTGAAGGTTTCAATTCATGGACTATAGTCTCTGTGCCTGGAATTTCTATCTTTCAACTCATCATCAGCATTCATTGGGATTTTCATATATATATACACCTATATAAGAATACCTATGTACACACATATATACGTATATACATGTATATACGTATATATGCACATTTATATACGTATATACATGTATATACGTATATATATACATGTACACATATGTATTTATTTCTCAAGTTACGAAACGGCTTGCATTCTTTCCTGTGTCATGAAAAAGACTTTGCTAGAAAAGAAAAGCACTGCTTTATAATAAAATATTTTATTTGCATTTATTTTGTTAAGGCATTTTAAAAATTGTATGTTTGTTTAAAAAATGTCATATGAAATGATACATATTTACAACTTAAGGCGTGATGTTCAACAGGTCATATACATTATGCATTGGATACATCCAGCCAATCAACATATGTGTGACCTCACATAGTTGTCATTTTTGTTGTGAAAAAACTTGACCTGCACTGTATTCGAATATTTTTAGAGAAAGAATATGTTACCACTAGTTATAGTGAGCATGCTGAAGAAAATATTTTTAACCTATTCCTCCTTTATAACTAGAAGTATGAGTTCTTCATCCAGCATCTCGTCAGTGCACCCTCTTCACCGCAGTCATTGGAGTCACTACTTCTGTGAAGTCCGCTTTTTTGATTTCATATAAGAATGAGATCATGTGCTATTTTCCTTTCTGATACCTGGCTTATGTCACTTAACAGAATGGCATGCACACATTCAGCAGATTCCCACACATTCTCACAACTGGCAGGATTTCCTGATTTCTTATTGCAGCGCATATTTCCGTTGCGCATATGCGTTTTTGCCCCATTTTTTAATCCACTTATCAATGGAGGGACACTCAGGTTGCTTCCGCATTTTGGCTACAGCAAAAATGTAATGAGTGCAGCAATAATTGCATGGGTGCGCGCACCGCTTCAACATACTGATCTGTGTACTGGCGGGCGTGCCCGGGTATTCTGATTTGCTGGATCATATAGTGGGTGGTTCTACTTGTAGATTTCTGAAGGCTGTTTATACTTAAATAAGAGCCATAAAGCTTCTTTAATGCCAGCACTAATTTACATTCTCCCCAAAAGTGAGCAGGGAATTCGTTTTCTCTGCCTCCTCACCAGAGATTAGGGTTTTCTTTTCTTTCTTTTTTTTTTTTTGTTTGTTTGTCTTTCGGATAATATGCATTCTGACTGAAGTGAGAAGAAATCTCATTGTGTTTTTGATTTGCATTTTCGTGATGGATTGGGGATAATGAGGAATTTTTAGTGTGTCTTCTGGGCAACTGTATGTCTCAGTTTCACAAATGAGTCTTCGCAGCCTTCGCCCATTTGTTTTCATGCTATTGAGTTGTTGGGAGTTCCTTATGTACTGTGACTATTCCCCCATGAACAGATGTATGGTGATCCAATCATTGCTCCCATCCTGTAGGATGCCCCTTCTGTATGTTGAGTTTTCTATGGTGTGGTGAAGCACTTTAGTTTGATATGATTCCATTCTCTATTTTTGATGGTGTTTACTGTGTTCTTGCAGTCACTTTGAGACCATCATTGCACACACGGACGCCATGGAGCTGCTTCCTTGTGATCTCTTCTGCTATTTTTATCGTTTCACATCTGACACTGGAGTTTGGTGATAAATAATCCACTTGTAAAATCCTTTGTGTGGCTATTCAGATTTCCCCAACCTAGTTTATAGAAGATACTTGATTTTGCATTGGGCGTTCTTGCTTCTTTGGGAAAAGGCTGTGAGCTGCAAATGCAGTGACTTAGTTCTGGGCTCCTGTTGTTTTTCCTAAGCTCTAGTCTCTGCTTTTCTGCCAGCGCTATTGTATTTTGGTACAAAAAGTTTTGTAGTAGTATATCATGAAGTTAGGTAGTGGGGTGGCTCCAGCTTTGTGCTTTTTACTGGATTGCTCTGGGTTTTCAGGATCTTCTGCCATTTCATAGCAAATTTGGGATTCCCAGATTGTTTTCTAAGAAGAATGTGTCATTGATATTTTTACAGGGGTTGTATAGAATCTGAGGATGACTCAGGTAGTAGTGATGTCAATGCCGTTTAGACAATGTGCGTGTTTGTGTGCACATGCTCAGGGCCAAGAGACACTGGGTGTCCTCACCAATACTGAGGTGGGCCTTAATATCCAGCCAGATTGCCTTCTGGAAACACACGGAATGTCCTGTTCTGTTTTGCCATCTCTTCACATTTCCTCCCCTGTGAGCCCTGTGTGGTCCTCCAGATTCCCTGTGCGGTGGCCTGCCTTTTTTGGGGTGGGGAGTTGCTGGGTGAATGAGGATGGCGGAGGGAACCAAGCATGTCAGTGGAGCGTGGTGTCATCCAAACGGTACTTAGCAGGCCTGGGAGAGTCATTCTGGGAGGACGCAGACCTAGAGAGGCCTCAGGTGGGCATCTGTGTGGAGGGTGAGAGATCCCTGGTTGAGCCCAAACTGAACCCCAGGTAGAAGCAAGCCTCAGGACAGGGAAGTAGCTAGCAAGGGATGATGAGGCAGCTATCTCTTGACCCTGGCTTCCCACCCATTGACCTTAGCTACTTATGCCTATTAAGCAGATTACGGTTCCCCCATCGTGAAATGTGGGTACCACAGTTCCCTGATGGGCATTTCTCCACCAGCCCATGATGGCCTGAGTTTCCTTACTGCAGTCTCCTCCCTGAGCCTTGGCTTCTCTATGTGTGTCCTAACTCCAGGACCCACAGGCCTGTCAACCCCCAGCCCTGGGCTGCTTCCCTGGCCTCTTCTCTGTTCCCTCTCTGAGGGCCTAACTCCCTTGGGTAGTGCTGCAGAATATAGAGCCACAGGCCCTGGCTGATGATCTGGTGGACTGGGCAAATTGGTCGTGACAGGTCAGGTTCTGGTTCAAAGCCAATTCCTCCGATGCCAAGGAATGTCGAAGAAGGTCCTTTGCCATGATGTCCCATAGCTGTCCCACCTCAGCAATCGTGCCGTAACCTGGGCCCTCACAGTCAGACAACCAGCTGAAGAAGCTCAGGCAGTGACCTGCGGGAAACTCGGGCTTTCACCTGCATGACCCTAGAACCACTGGACTGCAGTGGAGCCAGTCGCCCTGTATCCTGGAGGGAGACGAGTCAGGAAGGCGCACGCCAGGCCCAGCTCCCGAGGTACTACCCCCTCTACTCCTCAGGGAGGATGCCAACGCAATACTCCTTAGTCATCACTTTGTTTCCGAAGTAAATGTTGTGATGAAAGGCAAACTTCTTCCTACCCCTTGTATTCAGGGTGGCCGAGTTCCTCCACCTGCCTGTCCAAGAAGGAGAAACAGGGCTGTGAAGGGGCAATTTCATCTAGGTGGGCTGAGGTGGCACTCTAGCCGGGGTGAAGCATGCGTTTCCCCTTCCCAGCTTTCCCGCTGAGACACACCTGAGCCCCAGAAGGACCTCAACCTGACCAGGACCTTAGCACCCTCCCCCAGACCCAGGCTTTCCATCCTGACCTGCAAATCCAACATGCAGCTTTGAAGGACTTTCTCATGGTTTCTGAGCTCCTTGCTCTCACCAGAAAGAATCAGAACTTTTAAAGTGTTCTTTATGCCAACTTAAATTTTTCATTTTTACTACCTCATGTTTTGGATGAGGCATGTATTTTTAAATTTATTTTCACCCTTATTGTACCTCTATGATAAACTGCTTGCTTACATTCATACCGTAATTATCTCTCAGGTTACTTGTCTGTTCCTAAAGATTCACTGAAACGAAGAATTCTATATATGCTTGTATCTTTCAGCAACCGTATGTCAGATAGCACTGCACATTACTGCAGACATCGCATATACAGGTCCAAAGGTAGAGGAAGAAGAAGAAAGCAAGCGTTAAACTCTATTCATTCCTAAAAGCATATCAGAAACTCACAAATAACAGTGAAATCAAAGAATGATCACAGCCAATTCCATTACATACCTAGACTGAAATACGAAACTTCAAAGAAAAGAAACATTAGAACTTTGGGTTTGTAAAAATTTTCCTATATAGATAAAATTGTTGGTAACTGTGTCTCACTAGAAAACGTAAACAAAAATCCATGTTTTTCATATTTGTAAATATACATAGTTTTATTTCCATCAGTTATGACATGCAAGCAAGTAATAAAGTGAAAGTACAATCAAATGATATATGGAACTTCCTCAGTCTTAAAATATTCCATGGAGACTATCAATTTTATGAAAACTATAAAGAATGCTTCATGAAACTACATTGTACAGTGCCATTTACTATTTTACTGACATTTTAAATAATCAACAATTAAAGGGAATACGTCAACATTATTTAATACCAATAACGTTATTTTTCTTGAGTAATCCTGTTGAAATTAAGGATTTTAAATAAAACATTAAAAACAAATTATATTGACTGATTTCAGCTTTGGATGAAATCATACTTGTGTATTTGTAGTAATGCGAAGCATAACTTTCTCCTCACAATTAATCTTTTATAACATCGGTGTTATAGTTTTCTCTGACACCAACATTGTGATATCGCACAGGTTTACTGCATGCATGCATTACATGCCTCCAGAGAGTAGGCTTCAAATATATGGAAAAATTATATTTATGAAAAAATTCTAGGAAAGGGAATGGTGAAATGGAAGAGAATTTCTCACTTGCTAACTGTTGGACATGGATTTGTATATATTTGGATATAGACACATACTGGCACACTGTGAGTTTGCCCATGTATATATACACTTATATGAGAAACCCATAATATATGGGTTGTGTAACCTTTTAATTAATCCATAATTGTATGTGTGTGAAATTAGATAAGCGGTTACCTTTTCTTTACTCAATTTGATGGAAAGCCAAAAAACTCTGTCCACCTTCATTTCAATTAATCCAATACTGTTAACTGCTGGTAGCTTCATTCTCCTTGTTCTCTTACGGCAACCGGAAAGTTAATTCTCGCTCTAATTTGGCTTTCAAGGTGCGATCAACAAGAGTGTCACCTTGCTGTGGATTGTGACCTCTGACTCCACCTCTGTCTTCCTTTTGCAGTCCTACCTTTGCATAGGTAACAAACTTTGTACATGGTTAAAAGGATAAAAGTTCAGTGAAATGTCAAGCCATGCTGTGAAATGTTCCATAGTTTCTATATCTCTAATTGTCCTTTGATGTTATAGAGGCAAGAAAAATAATTCAATGTTTTTCTTAGTATCTAGTCCAATGCACTCTTTCTTCATAATACTGCAAACAAGGCACTGACATGGAAACGTGGCTGGACGTCTCAAAATCTCTTCTCATTAATTACCATTATGTTAATCACTGTTGCCCACAACTGGAATTGGACTTTGAAATCCCCTGGTGGAAATTGCTATAATGGCTCAAACTACTGGAAAGACTATCTTTTTTTTACCTGAAAATATCTGATGAGCATAGACGTATGCTATATACAGGAACATATTGTACATTAACAACATACCATCACTGCCACTCAATAATAGGTATCCCAAACCTTTGAGCCAAACTGAGCTCGGGTGCTCCCACAAAGCAAGCTTTTCCCTCCACAGATTTCTTATGTCAAAAAGCCACAACTCCAGGCCAGGCTTCGTGGCTCTTGTTGTAATTTCTACATTTTGGGAGGCCGAGGTTGGTGGGTCACTTGAGGTCAGGAGTTGGAGACCAGCATGGGCAACATGGCAAAAAGCTGTCTCTACCAAAAATACAAAAATTAGCCAGACCTAGTGGCACTTTCCTGTGGTCCCAGCTACTTGGGAGGCTGAGGCAGGAGAACCACCTGAACATGGGTGGCAGAGATTGTATAGTAAGCCAAGATCAGACTACTGCACTCCAGCCTGGATGACACAGCGAGACCATGACTGAAAAAAGAAAAAAAAAAAATAAAGGCAACTCCACTCGTCCACTGGCTTAGGTAAAAAGTACTGGAGTTGGCTGGGCTCGGTGGCTCACACCTGTATTCCCAGCACTTTGGATTTTGGGAAGCTGAGTCGGGCGGGTCACCTGAGATCTGTAGTAGGAGAGCAGCCTGGCCAACATGGTGAAGCCTGGCTTCTACTAAAACTACAAAACATTAGCTGAGCGTGGTGATGCATGCTTGTAATCCCAGCTACTGCAGAGGCTGAACCTGGGAGGCGGAGGATGTGTTGAGCTGAGATCCTGCCACTGCGCTCCAGCCTGGTCTACAGAGCGAGAGTACCCTGTGAGAAACAAAGGTGAAGAGAACAAGAAAAAAAAAATGAGAAAAATAAGACCCACTGCAAAAGGTTGCCACAGAAAAGATTAAACATTTCAGCAACTTCTATCTTCTGTCATGGAAGCCAAGGTTATTTGGACCAAACCTCCTGTCTTAGTTCATTTTCACGCTGCTGAAGAAGAGATACCTGAAACTGGGAATAAAAGGAGGTTTAATTGGACTGACAGTTCCACATGGCTGTGGAGGCCTCAGAATCATGGTATACGAATAAAGGCACTTCTTACATGGCAATGCCAAGAGAGAATGAGGAAGAACCTGAGGCAGAAACCCCTGAAAAACCCATCAGATCCCGTGAGACTTCTTCACTGTCACAAGAATAGCATGAGAAAGACCGACCCCCATGATTCAATTACCTCCCCCTGGGTCCCACCCGCAACACGAGGGAATTCTGGGAGATACAATTGAAGCTGAGATTTGAATGGAGACACACCAAACCATGTCACTTCCCAAACAATTAAAAATTCCCAATAGAAGAAGCATTAATTATATCAAAAAGTGGTGGACCAAGAAGGAACTATTAGCCTCATATCTCAAGAAAGACTCCAGTCAAGGCCTAGGGACTACTCATGAAAAGAGTTTAATAGCCGACTCTCTCCCAGTGGATCTGGATTCCACCGGACTGTATCTTCACAGTAAGGGTGAAACAGAAGCAAACCCATTCCTATTTCCAAGCTCAAGGAACTTTGGTCAAAGTTCTCTTGGAGCTGAGCAGAACAAGGAGGCAAACAGAAAAGATTTGTGTCCCTGAGAAGTCATGGCCACAGGCTGGCTATCACACAGATTGTCAAGCCAGTTCCATATTGCATGGGTATTACAGAAAATCTCAAAACATAAATTTGTGTGTGGGTTGTCCCAGAGTAGCAGGATCTGGCAGAAGGAAATTTCCTTCTAACCCTCAAAGAATCCACATAAATCTTGTTACATTTGGGATTTTACGATTTGCTTCAGGAATGAGAATGGCCTTAATTTTCATATCTTTTTCTACACTCAGTTTATGGCTTGTTGGCGTCAAAGTTCTGCTTGCTTCACACAATGAGTTTAGGATTTTCCCTTTTTTATTCTATAGAATTCTTCATATATATTGAAATGCTCTGCCTGGGGAAAAAAATCTGAGCCTAGCGTTTTATCTCTAGGAAGAATCCTTTATTTCCTTGAACATTTATGAGACTATACAGATTATATATGTCTTCTTGTATCAATTTTACTAAGCTATATACATAGCTTATGTTTATATATTATATATATAAATGTAAGATACAAATATAAAAATTATGTATAAATATGAAAATATATATAGAAAGCGATATATATGTCTATATATATAGACAGATTATAAATATCTGTCTATTTGACCTAAGTTTTCAAATTTGTAGGTTAAGGTGTTAACGATATTTCCTTATTAGCTTCTTAATCTATGCTGTATCTATGGTTGTGTACCTTTTAAATTCTTAGTTTTATCTATGTTTTCTCCCTTTTTTTCTAAACTTGACTGACGGTTGCATCACTTATTATATTTCTCCAACAAGCAAAGGTTAGCTTTGTATGTTTTACTAATTTTGTCTACATCATTATTCCCACACTTTAGTTTTTCAGAATTGATTCTGTTGTTTCTTTTCTAATTCTTTATTGAAATATCTAGTACATTAATTTTCAAGTTATTAGAGAAATATTTGTCTGTAAACTCCTATTGTAATATCACTTTTCTTGCTACTCACAGATTTAATCTTTAATATTGGCGGTATCATTGAGTTCTAAGTACATTTCAATTCCTAGTATGATAATCTATGAATTGCTGAGAAATAGTGTTTACAATTTTGTTGTTCTATTTCCACTTAAGTTTATTTTTACTTCTGCTAACTCAATTGAAAATTCTTTACTAATTTTTAAAATCCTTGAACCCAAGAGATGGAGGTTGCAGTGAGCTGAGATCAGGCCACTGCATTCCAGACTGAGTGACAGAGTGGAACGAGATTTCAAAACAAAACAAAACAAAACAAAACAAAACAGTCACTGGAAAGATAATAAAATACATAAATGTGGGATGTAATATGTAATCGTGATAAAATAAACTGGATTTTTTGTATAAGTTATACATATAAATGTAATGCCAAGACACTGATAAGACAACTCATGGTCTTATCTCAATACTTAGTGTCTTCATGTAACATATGTCCTTTAGGATAGTTATAGTCCGTTTTCTTTCCAGGAGAGACAGATGAGAATGCAGAAATGTTAAAGTGCAAGGGACGGAAGCTTCCAGCTGTGCCCACCTGTAACCTGACGTAGACAGTTCCACCGTTTGCTTCATTAATCATGCCAAAGGCTCTAATGCAAATGTGGTACAGAGTCACATGTTTTTGTATCTACATGATAGAAACTATAACTTCATCCCTATATAGAAGGGTATATAGCATATGCCTCAGTGATAAATATAAGTGAATCATTGATCAGTAGGAAACCATTTTAAAAGTCTTTCATAACAGAACAAAATCCCTGAAAACATTTTCTTCTCAATCTCTGAGTTTTCTTACACGGCTTATGAATCTCTAGCCATACTAAAGAGATAGTATGCTGCTCTTCCCACAAATTATTCATTGTATATAATTCCTGTAATCTAATAACAGTACCTTTACACCTCAGGGTTTAAAATGACTCCAACCTTTTTCTGTTTCTCCAATTAAAATAACTTTTTTAAGGTTTAATCTTCAGTAATTTTTTGTAGTAATATTTTTGAAGGTATTTGACCAGGATGATTTGCTTATATACCTACCTGACGTCTCCCTTTCTTCTGAATACATATTTTATTACCCACCTATTAGATCTAAGTTTAAGAAGTTGGAATAGGGATTTAAATCTAAATTCTACATTTGAATTTACAGGAGTCAGCGAGTCCGGGAAGTGCCTTTATGCACAGACCAATATCTGGCAATGGCACTAGGAGACAAATAAGCTTTACCAGTCTCAAAGCCCTGGCTACTACAGTGAATCCACCCTTCTCCTGGATCTTATCTACTTCAGCAAAAGAAGGCCACCCACTAAACCAGGCCCTTGTACTTTGGGTGGAAACTCCTAAGTCCTCTAGTCTCCTCAAACAGACAGCCAGGCTGCCAATTTCCACAATAATAATTTCTATAGCACTGAGTCTTTGGTAGCCTTGTAACTATAGCTACTGATGCTACAGTCTGGTCCCTGTATGATAAAACACCAGAGCAACAGAAACAAAAATATTGACTGAAGCCTTCTAAAATCTCTCTAAATATACCTTCAATAAATATCGTTTTTTTTACAGAACGACTGCTTTCAGCTTCCTGAACTAACGCTTGGCCTTCGCTAGTTGTCACTGTTGAAATTGATTCAAAAGTGTACATTTAACATGAAAGTCAACACAGAATTTCATGTGTCAGCAACTAAAATTTTCAAAATGTTGCAAAATACAAATGTGAAACTGTATTTGTGAAATTTACCATTCATTGAAATTATATTTTCATACCTACCCAGGCACAGAATTTTTTATAACTGTCTGCATGTTCTCCTCATGTGGGGGAAAAGCAGCATCAGCAGGCAGAGGAATCCTTTGAAGCTGGAGGGAGAGGTTGCAGTGATCTGAGAGTTTGCCACTTGACTGCAGCCTGGATGACACAGTGAGACTCCAACTGAAAAGAAACAAACACACACACACACACACACACACACACACACACCCCCAAAATTGATAAGTAAAAAAAAAATCCATATTCGAAAACATGCTCACAGGCTATCTCCCATATCTAACACACAGACACACACACACACACACACACACACACACACAATTCCTTGAAAACGAAAGTTCCACAAGGGCAAAAGAAGAAAACAAATTTAACACCCCCCAAAGAAAGTACAAAGAGTAACCTCAAAAGAACCGCAGGGGAAAACAATTCAAAATTTACAAGTATCTACCCTAAAAGAAGCTGAAAGTCCCTCAAAAACTTTCCAGAGGCCATGTCCTTGTATTACAAAAATGATCATAAAAACTGGCAGGAGTAGACGAATAGAAATGCATCTTAAAACTTGCTAAACCCTTCAAGTCTCCCATAAGAATTGTAATGGAAAATGGATCGGTCGGCAGCTTTTTCCATACAATTATGAACAAATTATATTTCTTCACACATAGATTTGTTTTTTCAATATTCTAAGGAATTAACTTTTATATTAATAGTAGGTGATGTAAGAAAGCAGGCCTTTATCAAGATAACTGACACTGGATGTCCATACCATTACTCAGGTGGGCCTTAATTCCCAGCCGGGTTCCCTCCCTGGACACACACTGAAGGTCCCCAGCCATTTGGCAATCTCTTCACATTCCCAGCCCTGGAGGTAGCCCTAAAATACATGTACCTGAAGAAAATAAAACATTGCCTCACACTGGAGCCCAGTGTGGTCCTCCAGATTCCGTGTGAGGTGGACTAACTTATATGGGAAGGCAGGGCAGCGGGAGTGAGGATGGCAGAGAGGATTACACATGTCAAGGCAGCCGGGGTCATGGAAACAAAACATGACTGGCCTGGGAGAAACACTGTGAAAGGACATACACCTAGGTGGGCCTCAGGTGGACATCCTCGTGGAGAAAAAGGGGGCCCTGGTTGATCTCAAAATGAGCCCCAGGTGGTAGCAGGTCTTACCGCAGGGCAGGGAGCTGGCGAGTAATGATGAGACAGCTATCCCTTAAGCCCTGCTTGTCACCCACTGACTTTAGCCACATATGCATCATAGTGGCTTAAGGTGCCCCGATCCTGAAATGTGGGTGTTACATGTCCCTGATGGGCCTCTCTCCCCCAACCCACGGATTGCCTGGGATTGCTCACTGCAGTCTCCTCCCGGATCCTTGGGTTCTCCATGTGGGGCCCAGATCCAGGTCAAAAGGCCTCTCAGTTCCCAGCCCTTCCCAGCCCTAGGCTGCTCGCCTGGCCTCCTCTCTGTTCCGCCTCTAGGGCTGACCCTCTCTCCATGGGATAGAACTGCAATGGATTGAGCCATAGGCCCTGGCTGATGATCTAGGGGACTGCAGAAGTGGGTCCAGGACAGTTCAGGTGACAGTTCAAAGCCAATTCCCCAGAGACCAAGGAATGACCAGCTAGGTCCTTTCCCATGATGCCCCACGGCGAACCCCACCTCAGCAATCCTGCCAAAACCCGGGCAGTCATGTTCAGCCAAACAGCTGAATGAGCTCAGGTAGGAGGTGTACTGCCTGCAGCTGGAGGCTTGACCTTCGTGATCCCAGAACCGCTGGACTGCAGTGGAATGAGACACCCTGTAGCCTGCAGGGAGAGGAGTCAGGAAGGTTCATGCCAGTCCCACCCTCCCACACACCAGCTCCCCTACCATGCTGGGAGGCATTCCTTACCGAGGATGCCAACACAGTGCTCCTTCATGATGATTTCACTGTGGAAATAAAGGTTGGGATGAAAGGAAATCATCCTGCCACCGGTAACCGGGATGGCTGAGTTCCTCCACCTGCCGGATCAAGGAGAAAGAGGATGGATTCAATGGGACCATCTCAACTAGCCGGGCTGAGGTGGCCTACTAGCTGTAGTGAACCATGAGTTTCCCCTTCCCAGCTCTCCCACTGAGACAACCCTGGTCCCCAGGGGGACCTCAAACTGACTCAGACACTGGACTCCTCCCACAGACCCAGGCTCCCCAGCCTGACCTGCAAATCCATCACGTAGCAAAGCAGGACTTCCGCATGCTTTCCGACCCACGCCGACATCTCGTGTGCCAAACAATCTACCTCTGCGCAAGAACTCTCCAGAGGATTGGGTGGGCAAGCCTCGTGACGCCTTGCAATTTCGCAAGAACACAGACAATGTGGAACAGGGCCATCTCCCAGACATTTGGCCAGTCACCCTTCATTGTTGGCCCTCTATCTCTGTCTGGCGAGGAGGCAACGCCACAACTGTGGTGGTTTTTGGAGTGGGTGGACCCCGGCCAAGACGGCCTGGGCTGACCAGAGACGGGAGGCAGAAAAAGTGGGCAGGTGGTTGCAGCTGAGGGACGGGAGGGACCGGGGGTGGTGTGAGGCGGCTGCTTCTCTGGGTTTCTGAGATGCAGGAGGCCTTTGTGTGCTGGGTGCTGGACATGCTCCGCTGATGTCCGGGTGTGTGGTGTCCTCTTATCCTAGTCTCCCTGAGGGGTGGGCCTGTCCACCTGAGGGAAGCCTTGTAGTTAGAAGCCACAGCAGGGTCGTGCCTGGCGCTCTCAAGGGAATTGCGTGGGTCCAGAGGAAGTTATACAGGCTCAGGGCCTACACGCCTTTGAGTGCAGCGCCTGCAGTTGGATGAATGCGCATCTGCGGAGCTGGTGCCCGCCGTCAGGTGGTCGGCAGCCCCATGCGCCGCGAACCCGTCTTAAGCACCTTGCGTTTCTGGGGTGAGCCTGCTGGAAACAGGCACCGAGAGCAGGGGTGGTTCAATGGCTGGTAATGGCATACAGATTCCCCGTCCTCCAGGGACGTTCCCAGGGAAACGCGTCCTTCGAATTTGGGCTGTGCGCAAAGGGACCTTGGCGCCGCGATTCTCCCTTGTCAGTGCTGGCCCTGGCTCCCCTTCCCTACCACGTGCTCCCAGGGCTGCTACAAGCGAGCTGCCCTCACAGCTGCGGGAACGTGGCCTCGGCTCCCACGCTGTCCCCCATCCCCTGCCTCCTGGCTGACCCCACGTGCCTCCCACCTGGCTCCTCCCCGCAAACAGCCCCCATACCCCCCGAGGCCCGATGACTATCCCCTGCTGCCCGCCATCCCAAATCGGCAGCCGCAAGGATATGGCTCTGGCTCACAAGGCGGAGATGCTCTGTGGCCTGGGGCATTCACGGAGCCCAGCTCCAAGTGAAGGACCTCCAGCGAGTCCATTGACGGCCCCGGTGTGCTCGGTCCAGGGCCAGGCTGTGCCCGCTGGCCCTCCTTCTGCCACCCCACGTCGGGCTCCACCTCAACCACCACCTCCACCTCAGCCATGATGTCTTCCACCTTCAGCACCGCCTCCTCTTCCAAGGCCGCCTCCTTGCTCTGTACCCCGGCCGTCCTCTCCAGCATTGCCTCCAGCCTGAACACGGTTTTCTCCTGGGTGCTCCCACAGACCCTGGGCCTGCGCAGCCCAGCCCAGCCCAGCCCATGCCCCGCACCCGTAGGCTCTGGGGGCCCGCTCCCCAGCAGACCCGCTCCCTGCAAGACCCACGGGCGTCGCCCTGCTGTGAACCTGGTCCCACACCTACGTGGACCCAGGTTTCCTGAGGAGCTCCGCTGGACCCGCAGATCCCGCACTGGCCAAAGGGCTCCGGTCCCCAGCAGGCTCAACTGCGCACAGGAGCTCGGGAGCCAGAGGCCCCGGCCCTGGGCTTGCAGAGCCCCACCAACAGGCACCGCAACCGCTGCTGCGGGTGCGGGAGCCTCTGGGTCGTCAAGGCAGCGCACAACAGCGTGCGCGCAGGCCGACAATGGCCAACCCTGGCGGCTGGCCTCTGGTGTGCCCAGGGCATAGGACAAGAGGCCCTTTGGAATGCTCCTTGGAGTACAGCATCCTCAGGGAGGAAGCATGGTACTCGGAGCCTCTATTTGCCTCGACCTGTGAGAGTGTGTGCCGGGGCTCTGGCCTCTACAGCAGATCAATTCCACCTCAGCACCGGCAGGCGACTTTCCTCCCACGTGCCCGCCCCGATCACTTCCCCCAGGACACCCCTGCCGCCCTAGCCCCAGCAACCAGAGAGAGTTCTCTGCATCTGCTGTATTACCTCCGTACCATCTACCTGGCCTGCCTAACGAAGAGAGATGTTTCCTGTGTTCATGACACATAGAGATGTTCATGGCTTGCCACACTGAGGATGTCAGGGCACAGGGCTGCCATGCCCACAATTCCAAAGGCCACGCAGCCCGCGTGTGCCCGGATGCCTAGCTACCCGGCACAAGCTCCAAGGGCTTCTCGGAGGAGGCTTGGGCAGGGAAGGCGGGGGGTGGGGGGGCTGGAGATGCAGGCCCGCCAGTGGCTGTGCCGCCCAGGGAGACGCCCACCGCCCTCCCATTGACTGGCCACGACGGGAGGAAGTCGGCCTGGGTGCGGCCCCCCGGCCCTTCGCGCGCAGTCCCTTAGGGGGCGCCTGGAAGCCCGGCGCATGCGCCCTGAGGGCTCGCTGACCTACCGGGTGCCAGAGAGGCTGCGGCAGGGTTTCTGTGGCGTGGGTCGGGCAGCACAGGCCTTGGTGTGTGCGAGTGCCAAGGAGGGCACCGCCTTCAGGATGGAGGCTGTACAGGAGGGGGCGGCCGGGGTGGAGAGTGAGCAGGCGGCTTTGGGGGAGGAGGCGGTGCTGCTGTTGGATGACATAATGGCGGAGGTGGAGGTGGTGGCGGAGGAGGAGGGCCTCGTGGAGCGGCGGGAGGAGGCCCAGCGGGCACAGCAGGCTGTGCCTGGCCCTGGGCCCATGACCCCAGAGTCTGCACTGGAGGAGCTGCTGGCCGTTCAGGTGGAGCTGGAGCCGGTTAATGCCCAAGCCAGGAAGGCCTTTTCTCGGCAGCGGGAAAAGATGGAGCGGAGGCGCAAGCCCCAGCTAGACCGCAGAGGCGCCGTCATCCAGAGCGTCCCTGGCTTCTGGGCCAATGTTGTATCCTTCTCAGTGTTTCTTCGGCCTTTCTAGTGGAGAGGTGCTCTCGGGGAAGTGTAAGTGACCGATGGGCAGCTCGGCGTCGATGTGACTCTTTGGGGAACAAAGGGGAGTTGCCACGGACCAGTGTGGCTGTGGAAAGCCGGAGCAGGCGTGGGTACTATTGTCCTGCATGCGGCAGAGAAACCCTTGGTGATGCCGAGCAGCAGACGTTTGGGGCATCTTTTTGAAGAGCAGAAGCGAGTTCAGAGCGGAAGAGGTTTTTCAGTGAATGAAGCTATTTTTAAGGGAGTGTGATTGCTGCCCCTTGCTAGTCCGATCTGGGACTGGGCGTCTTCGGCTATAAGCAGATTCTGCCACTCCTCAGACACCAGCAAGTCTCTGCAAATCGCGCCTCCCCATGTCAGTGCAGTCAGCCTCAGAATCATACACCCTCTGTGAACACAGGAGGCCTTAGTTTACGGGGACGGGGAGGCGAAAGGAGATCATACATGGAAGCAGATCTGAGAAATCCCCTACCCCAGCCTCTGGGTGCTCTTAGGCCTTCTTCCCTGTTGCTCCTCGCTTTCCCTTCCATCGTGTGTAAAGTCTCTTTGACCTAAATCAGATTGCAAACCACCCCCAGATGTCAGCCCTGATCACTGACGAAGATGAAGACATGCTGAGCTACATGGTCAGCCTGGAGGTGAGGCCAGGAAGACTGGGGCTAGAGGGTTTAGCGGGGGAGGGTAAGGGAAATAATTCATTCCTGTAAGCAAGAGTGAGCACCTCACCCGAAAACCTATCTAAGCTTTCTCCACCTTGTCCTGACAGGTGGAAGAAGAGAAGCATCCTGTTCATCTCTGCAAGATCATGTTGTTCTTTCGGAGTAACCCCTACTTCCAGAATAAAGTGATTACCAAGGAATATCTGGTGAACATCACAGGTGACAGGTGGCTCCCAGGATGGGTAGTGGAAGGAAGATGGTGGGTGGATCATTGCCAACGGGATCCAGCCCCCTTCCCACAAAAACTCCTGTCTCTGTAGAATACAGGGCTTCTCATTCCACTCCAATTGAGTGGTATCCGGATTATGAAGTGGAGGCCTATCGCCGCAGACACCACAACAGCAGCCTTAACTTCTTCAACTGGTTCTCTGACCACAACTTCGCAGGATCTAACAAGATTGCTGAGGTGAGTCCTCACTGGGAAACATGAGGAATGACCCCGTGTGTTCCCAGCTGCTTGGGTCACCTTTCTGAGCCCTGATGAGGCCTTTCCCGATTGAGTCCCCTGACAGATCCTATGTAAGGACCTGTGGCGCAATCCCCTGCAATACTACAAGAGGATGAAGCCACCTGAAGAGGGAACAGAGACGTCAGGTGAGCCGTTAGTTGGCACTGGAGCTGTTTGATGCGCAGTATAAGGGGGTTGACACACCTGCCTATTCAGGGAGCCTGGGTGCTCATTTCAGAAATGTAGAAACTGAGGCTCCTTTCGTACATGTAGAAATTCCTTGAGAGGAAGACAGAGTGACAGAATCCAGGACGTTCATGGCATTGGGCTGAAAAGGCACGTTAGAGACTGCACTGCAAAGCGGGTGATAGCTGTGGAGTCTTAAGCCCAGTGAAGAATCGTCCATTTCCAGAATCAATGAGAAGTAAAGCTGAAAATCATTCAGTTCAGTCTGTGGCACTTGATTCCACGGCTGTCAACCCCACCGGCAGTCATCCCACCAACCCCATGAGATTGGGCTCCCTGAATGTGCGTCCTGGTCATCCTTGCCCCAAACCACAAAGGACTGTTTAGATTGATGGATTTCCTTAAGCTGTTGCCCCATCAGACTTGTGTGTGCTTTTAGGGCCCAGTGCATCTTGTTAGCTGACTCCCCTCACAGACAATACTGGGAATGGGGCAGGGATTGCGCAGAACAGTTTGTAACACGTGGTAGGAGGAAGTTTAAGGGATCACAAATGGGGAAGGGATATCCTTTTCTCAGCGGGCCCCACAATTGAAACATTTCAAAGTATGGCTCAGAGAAAATGCGTTTTAACATGAGTTTGTGTTTCTCTAGGGGACTCCCAGTTGTTGAGTTGAATATGATGGAGCATCAGATTTTACCTAATACAGCAGAACTCCTAAAAAGTTACAGCCATATGCAGGACGGCAGTACTCAGCATGGTCTTATGCACAGGAACTAAAGGAAAAAGAGATCGAGTCACAAAAATTCAGGAAGAGGGGGTAAATGTGGATTGTATGGAATGAAAAATAAACATTCTCAAGGATGTGTGACTCTGTGTCTGTGTGTGTGTGTGTGTCTGTGTGTGTGTGTGTGTGTGTATGTTTATCCACTTTATTCGGGTGTCATAATGAATTGATCAATCCACGTGCTTTATTCTCTTCATGGAAATAACCAGTCTGCGTTGGAGCTGGGCCTCTAAAGTTGTAGAGTGAATGGGTGTGGGATGTGTTGGGATTCTTCCTACAGGACAGAGTGGGAGAGGTAAAAGCAAAAGACAGCTTAGTTGGAGGCTGACTTCGTCCTATGGAAGCAGAGATAGTTCAAGGAAAGGGGTTACTGGGTTTCCAGGGCCCAGTTTGCTGGGACCTCCAAAATCCTTCATTTTGGGTATCATCATACACAGTAGCTAAGCACAGGATGATGGAAATCTTAAAGTTCGCTTTCGTGTTGAATCCACATGTTCTTTTAAAGGTGAATGCATGATCCTTTTCTGGGACAATCAGCCTCTCAGGACTTCTGAAACATCAACGTGAGAAGAAATGGGCATGTAAGGTGTATGGAGGGACTGTGGGAAAGGTGACAGAGGCATGTGGGAAGGCATTCAGGATACGCTTTTGGCAGAGATGACTAAGGGAAAACAGAAACTTACAGAAGTGAGGGGAAAGGGGGTGGATTAGTGGAATATAAGATTGTTGGAGAATCCATCCATGGACTCTCTTGTCACTTGATGACCCAGGATATGGACACTCTTGTTGATGTTTACATCTTTAGTTGTTTTAAGCTTTTCTCCAAGATTCTGTGTTAGGTGAGGAGCCAATAACGTATGTAGCTAACAACAGTACGAGTGCATTTTGTGCTCTTGCAAAGTCTAGTGAGGCTCTATTCTCCCTCGTGATTGGCACTGCAGATTGTATCTGGAGCCCAGGGCCCCTAAATTTTCTGTGGCCTCTTCAGCATAGTTTGCCTAAGGTTTAGAACGTAAAGCGAATATAGTTGCGGAATATGTTTTGCAAGCCTCACACAGGAGGACAAAACATACAGCTTTCATTCGCGAGTGGGAGGCTGCTTCCCAGGAACACGTGTGTCTGCACAAGACAAGGGGTTGCCTCTGTCAAGGATGGGGCAGGAGGATTTCAGTGTCGGAGGCAGAACTTTCTTTCCTGTTCCCAGATGAAACAGTTCCAACACGAGCATCCATGTTGACCACACGCTACTAGAGTGCTAACATTGCTGTCCCGTATAGACTCTGGTCAGCACAGCTTCTGTGAGAAGAGCTATGTTGTTTCAGGGAAGAGGGTTTGACAGTCAAAGTTCCTGAATCTGTTGTGGTGCCTGCAATATGCATTCTACCCCTCCTGCTCGGTGTCAAAGCAGTTGAGCTTTGAAAATCTATCGCCCGGTTTTGTCCCTGCTCCTATGCAGACCTCTGAAGCTCTGGAGCGGGAGTCTTGTCCTCCTCTGACTACCGTCCCCCTGACCCACAAACACAGGAGAAACAGGTGTTCTAAGCAAATTATTCTGAAAACAGTCGGAACCCTTTGGCCCCCTCAAGCTGCCCTCTATCCTACTGTGTGCATGTCAAAGACACTGTGGTCCAGTACGGTATCCCTATAGCGGCAATGGGGCAACAGATTGGTGTGTGCACTCTGGGCAACTCAGATTAGGAAACGTCTGGGGACTTGCCTATAACGAGGTCGTCTTAAAACGTGTTGCCCCAAATTTAAGGCATAGGAAAATGTTGAGGAAAGGGTCTTGCAATGATTTTTCTAGGAGGTAAATAGATAAGAAAATGACCGTAAATAGATGCCAGGGCTAGTTTTGGAGCTAGCCTGTTTTAAAGTGGTGGTAGGGGAGGAGCTTTTTCCAAGGCAGGTAGCAAACCAGGAACTGTCTACGATGGATGGGCGTGCCACGGGTTGGTGGCTCAGCCATATTGCCACCCCACCGAGTGAATGCAGCAGACTGGGCTTCTTCCTTGAATCCTACGTGCAATTCAGTCTAGTGATTTCACATGAGATCCCTTCTTCTGGTATTATCACAGATCGTGCTGAATTATACAGGCTGTGTAATGCTTCTTCCACTGAATATCCGTGCACGTGGGCCACAGATGCTAAGGGCACTGACAAATTTGCACCGTGCCTCAGTAACTCGGAAGCACATCTGTGATTTGTACCGACAGGGACTTGGTGTCTTTTCGTGTTTAAAGTAGCACGTGTGTGTTTGTGGTTGCGTATGTTTATTTCTCTGTGCGGGTTTGTATATTTTCTCTGACTCCACCTGTGTCTCCGTGGTTCCGATATTTTTCCACACTCCCTGCGACAATTTGCACATGCCTATCTCTACAACCATTGTAGACTTTGTATCTGTGTCTTTGAACATCTGTCACTCTCTCTCCCTTCCTTTTTTCTTTTCCTTCCTTTACACCCCTCCTTTCATCCTTCCCTTGCTTCCCCACCACACTCTCTCCATCTGTATCGTCTATGTTTCTATTCTCTATCTGGGTTTACTTTCTAATTCTGAATTCAAGGGCATTGAATTGAAAAGAAGCACTCTTCGTACTTTTATGTGTTTTAACTCATTTGGGGAATTTGGCGTGGTATTATTTACAGGGTTCTCTCTGCCCTTTCTCATTGTTCTCCCCAGCCGGGGCTGTTATTATGTGAAAGCTGGTTTCCTTCATCACATCGCGTAGGCTCTAATGATGTTTCGTTTATTTTGATTCTCCTCACACTACATAGTTTTAATTTACCTAATGTGACTGTTTTTTTGTTTGTTTTCCGAGAATGGGTCTTACTCTGTCTTCTAGGTTGGACAGCAGCCCCACGATCTCAGCCCACTGCAGCCCAGGCACCACACACCCATGTGATCCTGTCAACTCAGACTCTCACACACCTGGCAGTACAGGTGCATGCCACCCCTCCAAGCTATGTATTAATTAACTAAATACTTACTTTTTGAATGTGGGTCCATGTTGCCCCAGGCTCATCTGGAACTCCTGAGTGCAGGCAATCCTCCCACCTCAGCTTATCAAAGTGCTGGGATGACAGGTGTGACCCATGGCCCTGCCATGGCTTTGTGTTTTTTGCTTTTTTCTTCCTCCTCCTCACGTCTTGTTTTGAAACATGCACTGAAGGTTTCAATTCATGGACTGTAGTCTCTGTGCCTGGAATTTCTATCTTTCAACTCATCATCAGCATTCATTGGGATTTTCATATATATATATATATATATATATATATATATATATATATATATGTATATAAGAATACCTATGTACACACATATATATGTATATACATGTATATACGTATATATGCACATTTATATACGTATATACATGTATATACGTATATATATACATGTACACATATGTATTTATTTCTCAAGTTACGAAACGGCTTGCATTCTTTCCTGTGTCATGAAAAAGACTTTGCTAGAAAAGAAAAGCACTGCTTTATAATAAAATATTTTATTTGCATTTATTTTGTTAAGGCATTTTAAAAATTGTATGTTTGTTTAAAAAATGTCATATGAAATGATACATATTTACAACTTAAGGCGTGATGTTCAACAGGTCATATACATTATGCATTGGATACATCCAGCCAATCAACATATGTGTGACCTCACATAGTTGTCATTTTTGTTGTGAAAAAACTTGACTTGCACTGTATTCGAATATTTTTAGAGAAAGAATATGTTACCACTAGTTATAGTGAGCATGCTGAAGAAAATATTTTTAACCTATTCCTCCTTTATAACTAGAAGTATGAGTTCTTCATCCAGCATCTCGTCAGTGCACCCTCTTCACCGCAGTCATTGGAGTCACTACTTCTGTGAAGTCCGCTTTTTTGATTTCATATAAGAATGAGATCATGTGCTATTTTCATTTCTGATACCTGGCTTATGTCACTTAACAGAATGGCATGCACACATTCAGCAGATTCCCACACATTCTCACAACTGGCAGGATTTCCTGATTTCTTATTGCAGCGCATATTTCCGTTGCGCATATGCGTTTTTGCCCCATTTTTTAATCCACTTATCAATGGAGGGACACTCAGGTTGCTTCCGCATTTTGGCTACAGCAAAAATGTAATGAGTGCAGCAATAATTGCATGGGTGCGCGCACCGCTTCAACATACTGATCTGTGTACTGGCGGGCGTGCCCGGGTATTCTGATTTGCTGGATCATATAGTGGGTGGTTCTAATTGTAGATTTCTGAAGGCTGTTTATACTTAAATAAGAGCAATAAAGCTTCTTTAATGCCAGCACTAATTTACATTCTCCCCAAAAGTGAGCAGGGAATTCGTTTTCTCTGCCTCCTCACCAGAGATTAGGGTTTTCTTTTCTTTCTTTTTTTTTTTTTGTTTGTTTGTCTTTCGGATAATATGCATTCTGACTGAAGTGAGAAGAAATCTCATTGTGTTTTTGATTTGCATTTTCGTGATGGATTGGGGATAATGAGGAATTTTTAGTGTGTCTTCTGGGCAACTGTATGTCTCAGTTTCACAAATGAGTCTTCGCAGCCTTCGCCCATTTGTTTTCATGCTATTGAGTTGTTGGGAGTTCCTTATGTACTGTGACTATTCCCCCATGAACAGATGTATGGTGATCCAATCATTGCTCCCATCCTGTAGGATGCCCCTTCTGTATGTTGAGTTTTCTATGGTGTGGTGAAGCACTTTAGTTTGATATGATTCCATTCTCTATTTTTGATGGTGTTTACTGTGTTCTTGCAGTCACTTTGAGACCATCATTGCACACACGGACGCCATGGAGCTGCTTCCTTGTGATCTCTTCTGCTATTTTTATCGTTTCACATCTGACACTGGAGTTTGGTGATAAATAATCCACTTGTAAAATCCTTTGTGTGGCTATTCAGATTTCCCCAACCTAGTTTATAGAAGATACTTGATTTTGCATTGGGCGTTCTTGCTTCTTTGGGAAAAGGCTGTGAGCTGCAAATGCAGTGACTTAGTTCTGGGCTCCTGTTGTTTTTCCTAAGCTCTAGTCTCTGCTTTTCTGCCAGCGCTATTGTATTTTGGTACAAAAAGTTTTGTAGTAGTATATCATGAAGTTAGGTAGTGGGGTGGCTCCAGCTTTGTGCTTTTTACTGGATTGCTCTGGGTTTTCAGGATCTTCTGCCATTTCATAGCAAATTTGGGATTCCCAGATTGTTTTCTAAGAAGAATGTGTCATTGATATTTTTACAGGGGTTGTATAGAATCTGAGGATGACTCAGGTAGTAGTGATGTCAATGCCGTTTAGACAATGTGCGTGTTTGTGTGCACATGCTCAGGGCCAAGAGACACTGGGTGTCCTCACCAATACTGAGGTGGGCCTTAATATCCAGCCAGATTGCCTTCTGGAAACACACGGAATGTCCTGTTCTGTTTTGCCATCTCTTCACATTTCCTCCCCTGTGAGCCCTGTGTGGTCCTCCAGATTCCCTGTGCGGTGGCCTGCCTTTTTTGGGGTGGGGAGTTGCTGGGTGAATGAGGATGGCGGAGGGAACCAAGTATGTCAGTGGAGCGTGGTGTCATCCAAACGGTACTTAGCAGGCCTGGGAGAGTCATTCTGGGAGGACGCAGACCTAGAGAGGCCTCAGGTGGGCATCTGTGTGGAGGGTGAGAGATCCCTGGTTGAGCCCAAACTGAACCCCAGGTAGAAGCAAGCCTCAGGACAGGGAAGTAGCTAGCAAGGGATGATGAGGCAGCTATCTCTTGACCCTGGCTTCCCACCCATTGACCTTAGCTACTTATGCCTATTAAGCAGATTACGGTTCCCCCATCGTGAAATGTGGGTACCACAGTTCCCTGATGGGCATTTCTCCACCAGCCCATGATGGCCTGAGTTTCCTTACTGCAGTCTCCTCCCTGAGCCTTGGCTTCTCTATGTGTGTCCTAACTCCAGGACCCACAGGCCTGTCAACCCCCAGCCCTGGGCTGCTTCCCTGGCCTCTTCTCTGTTCCCTCTCTGAGGGCCTAACTCCCTTGGGTAGTGCTGCAGAATATAGAGCCACAGGCCCTGGCTGATGATCTGGTGGACTGGGCAAATTGGTCGTGACAGGTCAGGTTCTGGTTCAAAGCCAATTCCTCCGATGCCAAGGAATGTCGAAGAAGGTCCTTTGCCATGATGCCCCATAGCTGCCCCACCTCAGCAATCGTGCCGTAACCTGGGCCCTCACAGTCAGACAACCAGCTGAAGAAGCTCAGGCAGTGACCTGCGGGAAACTCGGGCTTTCACCTGCATGACCCTAGAACCACTGGACTGCAGTGGAGCCAGTCGCCCTGTATCCTGGAGGGAGACGAGTCAGGAAGGCGCACGCCAGGCCCAGCTCCCGAGGTACTACCCCCTCTACTCCTCAGGGAGGATGCCAACGCAATACTCCTTAGTCATCACTTTGTTTCCGAAGTAAATGTTGTGATGAAAGGGAAACTTCTTCCTACCCCTTGTATTCAGGGTGGCCGAGTTCCTCCACCTGCCTGTCCAAGAAGGAGAAACAGGGCTGTGAAGGGGCAATTTCATCTAGGTTGGCTGAGGTGGCATTCTAGCCGGGGTGAAGCATGCGTTTCCCCTTCCCAGCTTTCCCACTGAGACACACCTGAGCCCCAGAAGGACCTCAACCTGACCAGGACCTTAGCACCCTCCCCCAGACCCAGGCTTTCCATCCTGACCTGCAAACCCAACATGCAGCTTTGAAGGAATTTCTCATGTTTTCTGAGCTACTTTCTCTCACCAGAAAGAATCAGGACTTTTAAAGTGTGCTTTATGCCAACTTAAATTTTTCATTTTGACTACCTCATGTTTCTGATGAGGCATGTATTTTTAAATTTATTTTCACCCTTATTGTACCTCTGTGATAAACTGCTTGCTTAGATTCATACCATAATTATCTTTCAGGTTACTGTTCTGTTCCTAAAGATTCACTGAAACGAAGAATTCTATATATGCTTGTATCTTTCAGCAACTGTATGTCAGATAGCACTGCACATTACTGCAGAAATCACATATAAATGTCCAAAGGGAGATGAAGAAGAAGAAAGCAAGCTTTAAAATCTGTACATTCCTAACAGCGTATCAGAAACTCACAAATAACAGTGAAAACAAAGAATGATCACAGCCAATACCATTTCATACTTAGACTGAAATATGCAACTTCAAAAGAAAAGAAAGTTAAGAACTTTCTTTTGTAAAAATTTGTAAATATAGTTTGTAAAAATTTAAAAATATAGTTTTAAAAATTTTCCTATATAGATAAAATTATTGGTAACTTTGTCTCACTAGAAAACATAAACATAAACAAAAATCCATCCTTTGCATATGTGTAAATATACATAGTTTTATTTCCATCAGTTATGACATGTAAGCAAGTAGTAAAGTTAAAGTACAATAAAATGATATATGGAATTTTCTCAGTCTCAAAATATTCCATGGAGACTATCAATTTTATGAAAACCATAAACAATGCTTCATGAAACTACATTATACAGTGCCATTTAGTATTTTACTTACGTTTTAAATAATCAACAATTAAAGGGAATTCGTCAACATTATTTATTATGAATACCGTTAATTTCCTTCAGTAATCCTATTGAAATTAAGTATTTTAAATAAAACATTAAAAACAAATTATATTGACTGATTTCAGCTTTGGATGAAATCATACTTGTGTATTTGTAGTAACGGGAAGTATAACTTTCTCCTCACAATTAATCTTTTATAACATTGGTGTTTTTGTTTTCTCTGACACCAACATTGTGAGATCGCACAGGTTTACTGCATGCATGCATTACATGCCTCCAGAGAGTAGGCTTCAAATATATGAAAAATTATATTTATGAAAAAATTCTAGGAAAGGGAATGGTGAAATGGAAGAGAATTTCTCTCTTGTTAACTGTTGGTCACTGGATTTGTATATACTTGGATATAGACACATATTAGCACACTGTGAGTTTGCCCATGTACATATACACTTATATGAGAAACCCATAATATATGGGTTGTATAATGTTTTAATTAATCCACAATTGTATATGCGTGAAATTAGATAAGCGGTTACCTTTTCTTTACTCAATTTGATGGAAAGCCAAAAAAATATGTCAACCTTTATTTCAATTAATCCAATACCATTAACTGCTGGTAGCTTCATTCTCCTTGTTCTCTTACGGCAACCGGAAAGTTAATTCTCACTCTAATTTAGCTTTCAAGGTGCGATCAACAAGAGTGTCACCTTGCTGTGGATTGTGACCTCTGACTCCACCTCTGTCTTCCTTTTGCAGTCCTACCTTTGCATAGGTAACAAACTTTGTACACGGTTAAAAGGCTAAAAGTTCAGTGAAATGTCAAGCCATGCTGTGAAATGTTCCATAGTTTCTATATCTCTAATTGTCCTTTGATGTTATAGAGGCAAGAAAAATAATTCAATGTTTTTCTTAGTATCTAGTCCAATGCACTCTTTCTTCATAATACTGCAAACAAGGCACTGACATGGAAACGTGGCTGGACGTCTCAAAATCTCTTCTCATTAATTACCATTATGTTAATCACTGTTGCCCACAACTGGAATTGGACTGTGAAATCCCCTGGTGGAAATTGCTATAATGGCTCAAACTACTGGAATGACTATCTTTTTTTACCTGAAAATATCTGATGAGCATAGACATATGCTATATACAGGAACATATTGTACATTAACAACATACCGTCACTGCCACTCAATAATAGGTATCCCAAACCTTTGAGCCAAACTGATCTCAGGTGCTCCCACAAACCAAGCTTTTTCCTCCACAGATTTCTTATGTCAAAAAGCCGCAACTCCAGCCCAGGCTTCATGGCTCTTGTTATAATTTCTACATTTTGGGAGGCTGAGGTTGGTGGGTCACTTGAGGTCAGGAGTTGGAGACCAGCATGGGCAACATGGCAAAAACTTGTCTCTACCAAAAATACAAAAATTACCAGACTTAGTGGCACTTTCCTGTGGTCCCAGCTACTTGGGAGGCTGAGGTAGGAGAACCGCCTGAACATGGGTGGCAGAGATTGTATAGTAAGCCAAGATCAGACTACTGCACTCCATCCTGGATGACACAGCGAGATCATGACTGAAAAAAGAAAAAAAAATGAAGGCAACTCCACTCGTCCACTGGCTTAGGTAAAAAATACTGGAGTTGGCTGGGCTCGGTGGCTCACACCTGTATTCCCAGCACTTTGGATTTTGGGAAGCTGAGTCGGGCGGGTCACCTGAGATCTGTAGTAGGAGAGCAGCCTGGCCAACATGGTGAAGCCTGGCTTCTACTAAAAATACAAAACATTAGCTGAGCGTGGTGATGCATGCTTGTAATCGCAGCTACTGCAGAGGCTGAACCTGGGAGGCGGAGGATGTGTTCAGCTCAGATCCTGCCACTGCACTCCAGCCTGGGCTACAGAGCGAGAGTACCCTGTGAGAAACAAAGGTGAAGAGAACAAGAAAGAAAATTAGAAAAATAAGACCCACTGCAAAAGTTTGCCACAGAATAGATTAAACATTTCGCCAACTTCTAGCTTCTATCATGGAAGCCAAGGTTATTTGGACCAAACCTCCTGTCTTAGTTCATTTTCACGCTGCTGAAGAAGACATACCTGAAACTGGGAATAAAAGGAAGTTTAATTGGACTGACAGTTCCACATGGCTGTGGAGGCCTCAGAATCATGGTATACGAATAAAGGCACTTCTTACATGGCAATGCCAAGAGAGAATGAGGAAGAACCTGAGGCAGAAACCCCTGAAAAACCCATCAGATCTCGTGAGACTTCTTCACTGTCACAAGAATAGCATGAGAAAGACCGACCCCCATGATTCAATTACCTCCCCCTGGGTCCCACCCGCAACACGAGGGAATTCTGGGAGATACAAATGAAGCTGAGATTCGAATGGAGACGCACCAAACCATATCACTTCCCAAACAATTAAAAATTCCCAATAGAAGAAGCATTAATTATATCAAAAAGTGGCGGACCAAGAAGGAACTATTAGCCTCATATCTCAAGAAAGACTCTAGTCAAGGCCTAGGGACTACTCATGAAAAGAGTTTAATAGCCGACTCTCCCAGTGGATCTGGATTCCACCGGACTGTATCTTCACAGTAAGGGTGAAACATAAGTAAACCCATTCCTATTTCCAAGCTCAAGGAACTTTGGTCAAAGTTCTCTTGGAGCTGAGCAGAACAAGGAGGCAAACAGAAACAATTTGTGTCCCTGAGAAGTCATGGCCACAGGCTGGCTATCACACAGATTGTCAAGCCAGTTCCATATTGCATGGGTATTACAGAAAATCTCAAAACATAAATTTGTGTGTGTGTTGTCCCAGAGTAGCAGGATCTGGCAGAAGGAAATTTCCTTCTAACCCTCAAACAATTCACATAAATCTTGTTACATTTGGGATTTTACCATTTGTTTCATCAATGAGAATGGACTTTAGTTTTCATATCTTTTTCTACACTCAGTTTATGTCTTGTTGGCATGAAAGTTCTGCTTGCCTTACACAAGGAGTTTAGGAATTTCCCTTTTTTATTCTATAGAATTCTTCATATATATTGAAATGCTCTGCCTGGGGAAAAAATCTGAGCCTGTTGTTTTATCTCTAGGAAGAATCCTTTATTTCCTTGAACATTTACAAGACCATTCAGATTAGATATGTCTTCTTGTGTTAATTTTACTAAGCTATATACATAGCTTATATTTATATCATATATAATCTTATATAAATATAAGATATAAATATAAAAAATATAAATAAATATGAAATATATATAGAAAGCTATATATATGTCTATATATGTAGACACATTATAAAAATCTGTCTATTTGATCTAAGTTTTCAAATTTGTAAGTTAAGGTGTTAATGATATTTCCTTATTAGCTTCTTAATCTATGCTGTATCTATGGTTGTGTATCTTTTAAATTCTTAGTTTTATCTGTGCTTTCTCCCTTTTTTTCTAAACTTGACTGAGGGTTGCATCATTTATTATATTTCTCCAACAACCAAAGTTTAGCTTTGTATGTTTTACTAATTTTCTCTCCATCATTATTCCCACCCTTCAGTTTTTCAGAATTGATTCTGTTGTTTCTCTTCTAATTCTTTTTTTGAAATATCTAGTACATTAATTTTCAAGTTATTAGAGAAATATTTTTCTGTAAACTCCTATTGTAATATCACTTTTCTTGCTACTCACAAACTTAATTTTTAATGTTGGCAGTATCATTAAGTTCTAAGTACATTTCAATTCCTAGTATGATAATCCATGAATTGCTAAGAAATAGTGGTTATAATTTTGTTGTTCAATTTCCACTTACTTTTATTTTAACTTGGGCTAATTGAAAATTCTTTACTAATTTTTTAAATCCTTGAACCCAAGAGACGGAGGTTGCAGTGACCTGAGATGAAGCCACTGCATTCCAGACTGACAGAGTGGAAGTAAATTTGAAAACAAAACAAAACAAAACAAAACAGTCACTGGAAATATAATAAAATACATAAATTTGGGATGTAAAATGTTAATCATGATAAAATAAACTGAACTTCTTTGTATAAGTTATACAAATTATTCATTGTATATAATTCCTGTAATCTAATTATAGTGCCTTTACACCTCAGGGTTTAAAACGACTCCAACCTTTTTCTGTTTCTCCAATTCAAATAACTATTTTAAGGTTTAATCTTTAGTAATATTTTGTAGTAATATTTTTGAAGATATTTGACCAGGATGATTTGCTTATATACTTATCTGATATCTCCCTTTCTTTTGAATACATATTTTATTACCCACTGATTAGATGTAAGTTTAAGAATTTCGAATAGGGATTTAAATCTAAATTCTACATTTGAATTTATAGGAGTCAGTGAGTCCAGGAAGTGCCATTATGCGCAGACCAATATCTGGCAATGGCACTAGGGGACAAATAAGCTTTACCAGTCTCAAAGCCCTGGCTACTACAGTGAATCCACCCTTCTCCTGGATCTTATCTACTTCAGCAAAAGAAGGCCACCCACTAAACCAGGCCCTTGTACTTTGGGTGGAAACTCCTAAGTCCTCTAGTCTCCTCAAACAGACAGCCAGGCTGCCAATTTCCACAATAATAATTTCTATAGCACTGAGTCTTTGGTAGCCTTGTAACTATAGCTACTGATGCTACATCTGGTCCCTGTATGATAAAACACCAGAGCAACAGAAACAAAAATATTGACTGAAGCCTTCTAAAATCTCTCTAAATACACTTTCAATAAATATGTTTTTTTTTTACAACACAACTGCGTTCAGCTTCCTGAACTAATGCTTGGCCTTCAATTGTTTTCATAGTTGAAATTGATTCAAAAGTGTACATTTAACATGAAAGTGAATACATAATTTCATGTATCAGCAACTACAATTTTCAAAACGATGCAAAATACAAATGTGAAACTGTATTTGTGAAATATACCATTTTTTCAAATTATATTTTCGTACCTACCCAGGAACAGAATTTTTTATAACTGTCTGCATTTTCTCCTCATGTGGGGCAAAAACAGCATCAGAGTTCTTGAATAATTTATGAAAGACAGGATGGCAATACTATACAAGTTTTACCTATACATAATACTGTATTTAGTTAATGAATAATTAGTTTCAAAAGCCTATTAAAGTATGGAGTAACTAAATAAAATATATTTAGTTCAATAATTCTAAAATACGTTTACATGAAGAAAATAAAACAATGATTAAAATACATAAACAAACAAATGAGGCTGGCATGGCGGCTCACACTTGGATGCCCAACATTTTGGGAGGTCAGTGCAGGCGGATCACAGGAGTACCAGACCAGCCTGGCAAATATGGTGAAACCAGTCTCGACTAAAAATACAAAAATTAGCAGGACATAGTGGCATGTGCCTGTAATCCCAGCTCCTTGGAAGGCTAAGGCGTGGGAATCCTGTGAAGCTGGAGGGAGAGGTTGCAGTGAGCCGAGACTTTTCCCCTTCACTCCAGCCTGGATGACACAGTGAGACTCCATCTGAAAACACACACACGCACACACACATACACCCCAAAAACTGATGAATAAAAAAAAATCCGTATTCGAAAACATGCTCACAGGCTAACTCCCATATCTAACACACACACACACAAAATTCCTTGAAAACGAAAGTTCCACAAGGGGCAAATAAGAAAACAAATTTAACACCCCCCCATATAAAGTAGAAAGAGCAACCTGAAAAGAACCACAGGGGAAAACAATTCAAAATTTACAACTATCTACCCTAAAAGAAGCTGAAAGTCCCTCAAAAACTTTCTAGAGACCATGTCCTTGTGATACAAAATGATCATTAAAACTGGCAGGAGTAGAAGAATAAAAATGCATCCTAAATCTTGCTAAACACTTCAAGTCTCCCATAAGAATTGTAATGGGAAATGGATCAGTCGGCAGCTTTTTCCATACAATTATGAACAAATTATATTTCTTCATACTTAAATTTGTTTTTTCAATATTCTAAGAAATCAACTTTTATATTAATAGTAGGTGATGTAAGAAAGCAGGTCTTTATCAAGATAACTGACACTGGATGTCCATACCATTACTCAAGTGGGCCTTAATTCCCAGCCAGGTTCCCTCCCTGGACACACACTGAAGGTCCCCAGCCATTTGGCAATCTCTTCACATTCCCAGCCCTGGAGGTAGTCCTAAAATACATGTACCTGAAGAAAATAAAACATTGCCTCACACTGGAGCCCAGTGTGGTCCTCCAGATTCCGTGTGAGGTGGACTAACTTATATGGGAAGGCAGGGCAGTGGGAGTGAGGATGGCAGAGAGGATAACACATGTCAAGGCAGCTGGGATCATGGAAACAAAACATGACTGGCCTGGGAGAAACACTGTGAAAGGACATAGACCTAGGTGGGCCTCAGAGGAACATCCTCGTGGAGAAAAAGGGGGCCCTGGTTGATCTCAAAATGAGCCCCAGGTGGTCGCAGGTCTTACTGCAGGGCAGGGAGCTGGTGAGTGATGATGAGACAGCTATCCCTTAAGCCCTGCTTGTCACCCACTGACTTTAGCCACATATGCATCATAGTGGCTTAAGGTGCCCCAATCCTGAAATGTGGGTGTTACATGTCCCTGATGGGCCTCTCTCCCCCAACCCACGGATTGCCTGGGATTGCTCACTGCAGTCTCCTCCAGGATCCTTGGGTTCTCCATGTGGGGCCCAGATCCAGGTCAAAAGGCCTCTCAGTTCCCAGCCCTTCCAAGCCCTAGGCTGCTCGCCTGGCCTCCTCTCTGTTCCGCCTCTAGGGCTGACCCTCTCTCCATGGGATAGAACTGCAATAGATTGAGCCATAGGGCCTGGCTGATGATCTAGGGGACTGCAGAAGTGGGTCCAGGACAGTTCAGGTGACAGTTTAAAGCCAATTCCCCAGAGACCAAGGAATGACCAGCTAGGTCCTTTCCCATGATGCCCCACGGCGAACCCCACCTCAGCAATCCTACCAAAACCAAGGCAGTCATGTTCAGCCAAACAGCTGAATAAGCTCAGGTAGGAGGTGTACTGCCTGCATCTGGAGGCTTGACCTTCATGATCCCAGAACCGCTGGACTGCAGTGGAATGAGACACCCTGTAGCCTTAAGGGAGAGGAGTCAGGAAGGTTCATGCCAGTCCTACCCTCCCACACTCCAGCTTCCCTACCATGCTGGGAGGCATTCCTTACCGAGGATGCCAACACAGTGCTCCTTCATGATGATTTCACTGTGGAAATAAAGGTTGGGATGAAAGGAAATCATCCTGCCACCAGTAACTGGGATGGCTGAGTTCCTCCACCTGCCTGATCAAGGAGAAAGAGGAGGGATTCAATGGGACCATCTCAACTAGCTGGGCTGAGGTGGCCTACTAGCTGTAGTGAACCATGAGTTTCCCCTTCCCAGCTCTCCCACTGAGACAACCCTGGTCCCCAGGGGGACCTCAAACTGACTCAGACACTGGACTCCTCCCACAGACCCAGGCTCCCCAGCCTGACCTGCAAATCCATCACGTAGCAAAGCAGGACTTCCGCATGCTTTCCGACCCACGCCGACATCTCGTGTGCCAAACAATCTACCTCTGCGCAAGAACTCTCCAGAGGATTGGGTGGGCAAGCCTCGTGACGCCTTGCAATTTCGCAAGAACACAGACAATGTGGAACAGGGCCATCTCCCAGACATTTGGCCAGTCACCCTTCATTGTTGGCCCTCTATCTCTGTCTGGCGAGGAGGCAACGCCACAACTGTGGTGGTTTTTGGAGTGGGTGGACCCTGGCCAAGACGGCCTGGGCTGACCAGAGACGGGAGGCAGAAAAAGTGGGCAGGTGGTTGCAGCTGAGGGACGGGAGGGGCCGGGGGTGGTGTGAGGCGGCTGCTTCTCTGGGTTTCTGAGATGCAGGAGGCCTTTGTGTGCTGGGTGCTGGACATGCTCCGCTGATGTCCGGGTGTGTGGTGTCCTCTTATCCTAGTCTCCCTGAGGGGTGGGCCTGTCCACTTGACGGAAGCCCTGTAGTTAGAAGCGACAGCAGGGTCGTGCCTGGCGCTCTCCATGGGAATTGGGTGGGTGCAAAGGAAGTTATATAGGCTCAAGGCCTACACACCTTTGGGTGCAGCGCCCGCAGGGGGAAGAAAGCATATCTGGGGAGCTGGTACCTGCCCTGAGGTGGTCGGCAACCCCATGCACCATGAACTCGTTTTAAGCACCTTGTGTTTCTGGGGTGAGCCTGCTGGAAACAGGCACCGAGAGCAGGGGTGGTTCAATGGCTGGCAATGGCATACAAATTCACCGTCCTCCAGGTACGTTCCCAGGGAAATGTCCCCTTCGACTTTGTGCTGTGCGGCAAGGGAACTTGGCGCCGCGATTCTCCCTTGTGAGTGCTGTGCTTGGCTCCCCTTCCCTACCACGTGCTCCCAGGGGTGCTACAAGAAGCTGCCCTCACAGCTGCAGCAACGTGGCTTCGGCTCCCACCCTGTCCCCCATACCCTGCCTCCTGGCTGACCCCACGTGCCTCCCACCTGGCTCCTCCCCGCAACCAGCCCCAATGCCCCCCTGAAGCCCAATGACTATCCCTTGCTGCCAGCCATCCCGAATCGGCAGCTGCAAAGTATGGCTCTGGCCCACAAGGCGGAGATGCTCTGTGGCCTGGGGCATTCACGGAGCCCACCTCCAAGTGAAGGACTTCCAGCGAGTCCATTGACGGCCCGGGTGTGCTCGGTCCAGGGCCAGGCTGTGCCCGCTGGCCCTCCTTCTGCCACCCCACGTCGGGCTCCACCTCAACCACCACCTCCACCTCAGCCATGATGTCTTCCACCTTCAGCACCGCCTCCTCTTCCAAGGCCGCCTCCTTGCTCTGTACACCGGCCGTCCTCTCCAGCATTGCCTCCAGCCTGAACACAGTGCTCTCCTGGGTGCTCCCACAGCCCCCGGGCCTGCGCAGCCTAGCCCAGCCCATGTCCTGCACCCCTAGGCTCTGGGGGCCCGGGCTCCAACAGACCCACTCCTTGAAAGACCCACGGGCGTCGCCCTGCTGAGAACCTAGTCCCACACCTACGTGGACCCAGGTTTCCTGAGGAGCTCCGCTGGACCCGCAGATCTGGCACTGGTCAAAGGCCTCCGGTCCCCAGCAGGCTCAAATGCGGACAGGAGCTTGGGAGCCAGAGGCCCAGGCCCTGGGCTTGCAGAGCCCCACCAGCAGGCACCGCAGCCGCTGCTGCGGGTGCGGGAGCTTCTGGATCGTCAAGGCAGCGCACAACAGCGTGCGCGCAGGCCGACAATGGCCAACCCTGGCGGCTGGCCTCTGGTGTGCCCAGGGCATAGGACAAGAGGCCCTTTGGAATGCTCCTTGGAGTACAGCATCCTCAGGGAGGAAGCATGGTACTCGGAGCCTCTATTTGCCTCGACCTGTGAGAGTGTGTGCCGGGGCTCTGGCCTCTACAGCAGATCAATTCCACCTCAGCACCGGCAGGCGACTTTCCTCCCACGTGCCCGCCCCGACTCACTTCCCCTAGTCCAACCCTGCCGCCCTAGCCCCAGCAACCAGACTTCTCTGGATCCGCAGTATTACTTCCGTACCATCTACCTGGCCTGCCTAACGAAGAGAGATGTTTTGTGTGTTCATGACACATAGAGATGATCATGGCTTGCCACACTCAGGATGTCAGGGCACAGGGCTACCATGCCCACAATTCCAAAGACCACGCAGCCCGCGTGTGCCTGGACTCTGAGCTACCCGGCACAAGCTCCAAGGGCTTCTCGGAGGAGGCTCGGGGACGGAAGGCGTGGGGTGAGTGGGCTGGAGATGCAGGCGCGCCCGTGGCTGTGCAGCCCAGGGAGACGCCCGCCGCCCTCCCATTGATTGGCCATGAGGGAAGGAAGTCGGCCTGGGTGCGGCCCCTTGGCCCTTAGCGCGCAGTCCCTTAGGGGTCTCCTGGAAACCCGGCGCATGCGGCCCTGAGGGCCCGCTGACCCACCGGGTGCCCATCTGCGACAGGGTTCCTATGGCGTGGGTGGAGCAGCACAGGCCTTGGTGTGTGCGGTGCCGAGGAGGGCACTGCCTTCAGGATGGAGGCTGTACAGGAGGGGCGGCCGGGGTGGAGAGTGAGCAGGCGGCTTTGGGAGTTGGAGGCAGTGCTGGTGGCAGATGACATAATGGCGGAGGTGGAGGTGGTGGCCCAGGAGGAGGCCCTCGTGGAGGGGCAGGTGGAGGCCCAGCGGGCACAGCCTGGCCCTGGGCCCATGACCCCAGAGTCTGCACTGGAGGAGCTGCTGGCCGTTCAGGTGGAGCTGGAGCCGGTTAATGCCCAAGCCAGGAAGGCCTTTTCTCGGCAGCGGGAAAAGATGGAGCGGAGGCGCAAGCCCCACCTAGACCGCAGAGGCGCCATCATCCAGAGCGTCCCTGGCTTCTGGGCCAATGTTGTATCCTTCTCAGTGTTTCTTCGGCCTTTCTAGTGGAGAGGTGCTCTCGGGAAAGTGTAAGTAACTGATGGGCAGCTCGGCTTCGATGTGACTCTTTGGGGAACAAAGGGGAGTTGCCACGGACAAATGTGGCTGTGGAAAGCCGGAGCAGGCGTGGGTACTATTGTCCTGCATGCGGCAGAGAAACCCTTGGTGATGCCGAGCAGCAGACGTTTGGGGCATCTTTTTGAAGAGCAGAAGCGAGTTCAGAGCAGAAGACGTTTTTCAGTGAATCAAGGTATTTTTAAGGGAGTGTGATTGCTGCCACTTGCTAGTCCGATCTGCGACTGGGCGTCTTCGACTATAAGCAGATTCTGCCACTCCTCAGACACCAGCAACTCTCCGCACATCACGCCTCCCCATGTCAGTGCAGTCAGCCTCAGAATTATACACCCTCCGTGAACACAGGAGGCCTTAGTTTACGGGGAGGGGGAGGCGAAAGGAGGTCATACATGGAAGCAGATCTGAGAAATCCCCTACCCCAGCCTCTGGGTGCTCTTAGGCCTTCTTCCCTGTTGCTCCTCGCTTTCCCTTCCATCGTGTGTAAAGTCTCTTTGACCTAAATCAGATTGCACACCACCCCCAGATGTCAGCCCTGATCACTGACCAAGATGAAGACATGCTGAGCTACATGATCCACCTGGAGGTAAGGCCAGGAAGACTGAGGCTAGAGGGTTTAGTGGGGGAGGGTAAGGGAAATAATTCATTCCTGTAAGCAACAGCAGGCATCTCACCCGAAAAGGTATTTAAGCTTTCTCCACCTTGCCCTGACAGGTGGAAGAAGTGAAGCATCCAGTTCACCTGTGCAAGATCATGTTGTTGTTTCAGAGTAACCCTTACTTCCAGAATAAAGTGATTACCAAGGAATATCTGGTGAACATCACAGGTGACAGGTGGCTCCCAGGATGGGTGGTGGAAGGAAGATGGTGGGTGGATCATTGCCAATGTGATCCAATCCCCTTCCCGCAAAAATTCCTGTCTCTGTAGAATACAGGGCTTCTCATTCCACTCCAATTGATTGGTATCCAGATTATGAAGTGGAGGCCTATCGCCGCAACCACCACAACAGGAGCCTGAATTCTTCAACTGGTTCTCTGACCACAACTTCGCAGGATCTAACAGGATTGCTGAGGTGAGTCCTCACTGGGAAACATGAGGAATGACCCCATGTGTTCCCAGCTGCTTGGGTCACCATTCTGAGTCCTGATGAGGCCTTTCCCGATGGATTCCCCTGACAGATCCTATGTAAGGACCTGTGGTGCAATCCCCTGCAATCCTACAAGAGGATGAAGCCACCTGAAGAGGGAACAGAGATTTCAGGTGAGCTGTTCAGTTGGAACTGAAGCTTTTTGATCCCCAGGATAAGGAGGTTGACACACCTGCCTATTCAGGGAGCCTGGAGGCTCATTTCAGAAATGTAGAAATTGAGCCTCCTTTCATACATGTAGAAATTCCTTGAGAGGAAGACAGAGTGTGACAGAATCCAGGACATTCATGGCATTGGGCTGAAAAAGGCACATTAGAGACTGCACTGCAAAGCACGTTATAGCTGTGAAGTCTTAAGCCCAGCGAAGCATCATCCATTTCCAGAATCACTGAGAAGAAAAGCTAAAAATCCTTCACTTCAGTCTGTGGCACTTGATTCCATGGCTGTCAACCCCACCGGCAGTCATCCTACCAACCCCATAAGATTGGGCTCCCTGAATGTGCGTCCTGGTCCTCCTTGCCCCAAACCACAAAGGACTGTTTACATTGATGGATTTCCTTAAGCTATTGCCCCATCAGATTTCTGTGTGCTTTTAGGGTACAGTGCATCTTGTTAGCTGACTCCCCTCACAGAGAATACTGGGAATGGGGCAGGGATTGCACAGAACAGTTTGTAACACGTGGTAGGAGGAAGTTTAAGGGATCACAAATGGGGAAGGGATATCCTTTTCTCAGCGGGCCCTACAATTGAAATATTTCAAAGTATGGCTCAGAGAAAATGCATTTTGACATGTGTTTGTGTTTCTCCAGGGTACTCCCAGATGTTGAGTTGAGTCTCTCCCCGATGTTGAGTTGAGTATGATGGAGCATCACACTTTACCGAAAGCAGCAGAACTCCTAAAAAGTTACTACAGTATGCAGGATGTCAGTATTCAGCATGGTCTTATGCACAGGAACTAAAGGAAAAACAGATCGAGTCACAGAAAATCAGACAGGAAGAGGGGGTAAACTTGGATTGTATGGAATGAAAAATAAACATTCTCAAGGATATGTGACTCTGTGTTTGTGTGTGTTTCTCTGTTTGGGTGTGTGTATGTGTGTGTATATTTATCCCCTGGATCCGGGTGTCATAATGAATTGATCAATCCATGTGCATTATTCTCTTCATGGAAATAACCAGTCTGTGTTGGAGCTGGGCCTCTAAAGTTGTAGAGTGAATAGGTGTGGAATGTGTTGAGATTCTTCCTACAGGACAGAGTTGGGGAGGTAAAAGCAAAAGACAGCTTAGTTGGAGGCTTACTTCGTCCTATGGAAGCAGAGGTAGTTCAAGGAAAGGGGTCAATAGGCACTAAGGTTTCCAGGGCCCAGTTTGCTGGGACCTCCAAAATCCTTCATTTTGGTATCATCATACCCAATAGATAGCACAGGATGATAGAAATCTTAAAGTTCAATTTCGTGTTGAATTCACATGTTCTCCTTTTAAAGGTGAATGCATAATCCTTTTCTGGGACAATCAGCCTCTCAGGACTTCTCAGACATCAACTTGAGAAGAAATGGGCATGTAACCTGTATGGAGGCACTGTGGGAAAGGTGACAGAGGCATGTGGGAAGGCATTCAGGATACTGGCATAGATGACTAAGGGAAAATGCAAACTTACAGAAGTGAGGGAAAAGGGGGAGGATTTGTGGAATATAAGATTGCTGGAGGATCCACACATGGACTCTCTTGTCACTTGATGACCAGGATATGGACACTCTTGTTGATGTTTATATCTTTAGTTGTTTTAAGCTTTTCTCCAAGATTCTATGTTAAGTGAGGAGCCAATAATGTATGTAGCTAACAACATTATGAGTGCATTTTGTGCTCTTGCACATTCTAGTGAGGCTCTATTCTCCCTAGTGATGGGCACTGCAGATTATTTCTAGAGCCAGGACCCTTTTATTTTCTTTGGCCTTTTCAGCATACTTTGCCTAAGATTAATAATATAAAGAGAATATAGTTGCAGAGTATGTGTTGCAAGCCTCACACAGGAGGACAAAACATACAGTGTTCATTCTCGAGTGGGTGGCTGCTTCCCAGGGACACCTGTGTCTATGCACAAGATAAGGGGTTGCCTCTATCATAGAAGGGGGAGGAGGATTTCATTGTTGGGCACAGAACTTTCTTCCCTGTTCCCAGATAAAACAGTTCCAACATGAGCATCCATGTTGGCCACACACTAATAGAGTGCTAACATTCCTGTCCTCTACAGACTCTGGTCAGCACAGCTCCTGAGAGAAGAGCTGTGTTGTTTCAGGGAAGGGTGTTTGACAGTCAAAGTTCATGAATCTGTTGTGCTGCCTTCAAAAAGCATTCCACACCTCCTGCTCGGTATCAGCAGTTGAGCTTTGAAAATCTATAGCCCAGTTTTGCCCCTGCTCCTATGCAAAGAGCTGAGGCTCTCCAGCAGGAGTCTTGTCCTCCTCTGACTACTGTCCCCATGTCCCACAAACACAGGAGAAACGGGTTTCCTCAGCAAATTATTATGAAAACAGTTGGAACCCTTTGGCCCCCGCAAGCTGCCATTATCTTACTGTGTGCTGGTCAAAGGCACTGTGGTCCAGTACAGTACCCCTATAGTGGAATGGGGCAACAGATTGGTGTGTGCACTCAGGGCAACTCAGATTAGGAAACATCTGGGGACTTGCCTATAATGAGGTCGTCTGAAAAGGTCTTGCCCCAAATTTAATGCATAGGAAAAAGTTGAGGAAAGGGTCTTGCAATTATTTTTCTAGGAGGTAAATAGAAAAGAAAAATACCGTAAATAGATGCCAGGGCTAGTTTTGGAGCTAGACTGTTTTAAAGTGGTACGGGAAGCACTTTTTCCAAGGCAGGCAGCAAACCAGGAACTGTCTACAATGGATGGGCATGCCATGAGTTGCTGGCTCAGCCATATTGACACCCCAGTAAGTGAATGCAGCAGACTGGGCTTCTTCCTCCATTCCTACATACAATTCAGTCTAGTGATTTCACATGAGAACCCTTCTTTTGGTATTATCAGAGATGGTGCTGAATTATACAGGCTGTCTAATGATTCTTCCACTGCATGTTCATGCACATGGGCCGCAGATACTAAGGTCACTGACAAATTTGTATTCTGCCTCAGTAACTCTGAAACACCTGTGTTATTTCTAGTGTCAGGGTCTTGGTGTTTTTTCATGTTTAAACTACCACGTGTGTGTTTGTAGTTGTGTATGTTTATTTTTCTGTGTGGGTTTATATGTTTTCTCTGACTCCACCTATGTCTCTGTCTACCCAATAGGTTTCCACACTACTTGTAGTAATTTTACATGCCTATCTCTACAACCGTGCTGGACTTTGTATCTGTGTCTTTGAACATCGATCACTCTCTGTCCCTTCCTTTTTTTCCTTTCTTTCCTTTACACCCCTCCTTTCTTCCTTCCCCACCACACGCTTTCCATCTGTATCATCTGTCTTTTTATTCTCTATCTAAATTCAGTTTGTAATTCTGAATCTGTTATCAGTGGCATCAGATTATCATTTTAATGTCTGGATGAAATTCCTCTTTCAAAGACTCTCAGCTGAAGGATATGAGTTCTTTTTTTGAGCCACAATGAAGGGTTTATTTCTGGCCGATCTAGCAATGACTGTTAAAAAAAATACTGGGCATGACAGGAAAGCCAAAAATCACACGGATTCCACTCATCCCACTCAGTGTATCCAAAAGGTGGAAAAGTGAAAAAGTGGGTGATTCCTGTGGTCTCCAAAGCAGAATGAGAACTTTCAAGTGATTGTGTCAGATCATTTTCCAGGAGGCAGCTGTAGTTCGTAGATACATGCTGTGTAAACACAAGCACAATGATGAAACCAATAAAATGTTCTTCTCCCTCTGTTTTAATGTTATTTTATCTTTTTAACAAATATTATACATACATAATTTCTTCATGACATGTCATAAACTATTGTTTAATGAACTCATACATGAGTTCTTCATTGTGTCAAAGAATGTCAAAGCATCATGATTCGTTATGACCTGCTACAGATAAGTGATAGGAAATAACAAAATGAGGGCATATAGAAAGGACAAATCATGATCTGAGAACTTCACCAAGAGGTTCAGGCTAGATGAATGTATGTCAGGGATTCAGAAAGAAACTTGCACTTGTTATTAAGGGCTATGAATCCAAAAGAAGCACTCTTTGACATTTATGTCTTTTAACTCATTTGGGGAGTTTGGTGTGTTATTATTTACAGTGTTCTCTCTACCTTTTTTCATTATTCTCCCCATCTGGGGCTGTTATTATGTGAAAGCTGTTTCCTAGGATTGCATAAGGTCTACTGATATTTCATTTATTTTGATTCTCCTCACACTACATAGTTTTAATTTACCTAATGTGACGCTTTTTGTGTTCATTTCCTTAGAATGGGTCTTACTCTGTCTCCTAGGTTGAAGAGCAGCCCCATGATCTCTGCCCACTGTAGCCCAGACACCACACACCTATGTGATCCTCTCAACTTAGACTCTCACACACCTGGCAGTACAGGTGCATGCCACCCCTCCCAGCTATGTATTAATTAATTAATTAATTAATTAATTACTTTTTGGATGTGGGCCCATGTTGCCCCAGGCTCATCTGGAACTCCTGAGTGCAGGCAATCCTCCCACCTCAGCCTCTCAAAATGCTGGGATTACAGGTGTGACCCATGGCCCGGCCATGGCTTTGTGTTTTTTGCTTTTTATTCCTCCTCCTCACGTCTTCTATTGAAACATGCAGTGAAGGTTTCAATTCATGGACTATAGTCTCCGCGCCTGTAATTTCTATCTTTCAACTCATCATCGGCCTTCACTGGGATTTTCATATATATGTATATACATGTACACATATATTTTTTTCTTAACTTACCAAACGACGTCGCATTCTTTCCTGTATCATGAAAAAGACTTTGATAGAAAAGAAAAGCACTGCTTTATAATAAAATACTTTATTGACATTTATTCTCTTGAGGAATTTTAAAAATTGTTTATTTTTTAAAATGGCGTATGAAAAGATACATGTTTATAACTTACGGGGTGATGTTCCAAAGGTCATATACATTATGCAGTGGATGCATTCAGCTAATCAACATAAGCATGACCTCACATACTTGTCATTTTTGTTGTGAAAAAACTGACAAGCACTGTCTTCGAATTTTTTAGAGAAAGAATATATTATCCCTAGTTATAGTCAGCATGCTGAAGAAAATGTTTTTAACCTATTCCTCCTTTCTAACTAGAAATATGTATTTTTGATACAGCATCTCCTCAGTGCACCCTCTTCACCCCAACCATTGGAGTCACTACCTCTGTGAGGTCTGCTTTTTATATTTCATATAAGGATGAGGTCATGTGCTATTTGCCTTTCTGATACATGGCTTATGTCACTTAACAAAATGGCATGCACACATTCAGCATATTCACACACATTGTCACAACTGGCAGGATTTCCTTTTTTATTACTGCAGTGCATTTTTCTGTTGTGCATATGTGTTTTTGCCCCATTTTTTTAATCCACTCATCAATCGAGGGACTCTCAGGTTGCTTCTGTATTTTGGCTATAGCAAAAATGTAAAGAGTGCAGCAATAATTGCATCGGTGCATGCACCGCTTCAACATACTGATATGTGTATTTGTGGGTGTGCCCCAGAATTCTGATTTGCTGGATCATATGGTGGGTGGTTCTACTTGTAGATTTCTGAATACTGTTTATACTTAAATAAAAGCCATAAAGCTTCTTGTAATGCCTGCACTACTTTACATTCTCACCAAAAGTGAGCAATGATTTCCTTTTCTCTGCATCCTCACTAGAAATGAGCATTTTTGTTTGTTTGTTTGTTTGTTTTGTCTTTTGGATAATAGGCATTCTGACTGAAATGAGAAGAAATCTCACTCTGTTTTTGATTTGCATTTTCCTGAAGGATTAGGACTTTTTAGTGTGTCTTCTGGGCAACTGTATGTCTTCGTTTTACAAATGAGTATTCACAGCCTTAGCCCATTGGTTTTCATGCTATTGATTTGTTGGGAGTTCCTTATGTACTGTGAATATTCACCAGTTAGCAGATGCATGGTGATCCAATCATTCCTCCCATCCTGTAGGATGTCCCTGTCTGTTTAGTTTTCTGTGGTGTGTGGAAGCACTTTAGTTTGATATGATTCCGTTCTCTATTTTTGATGGTGTTTACTGTGCTCTCGCAGTCACTTTGAGACCATCATTGCCCACAGGGTTGCCGTGGAGCTTCTTCCTTGTGATTTCTCCTAGTATTTTTATCGTTTCAAGTCTGACATTGGAGTTTGGTGAGAAATAATCCACTTGTAAAATGCTTTATGTGGATACTCAGGTTTTCCCCAGCCTAGTTTATAGAAGATACTTGATTTTGCACTGGGTATTCTTGCTTCTTTGGGAAAAGGCTGTGAGCTGCAAATGCAGTGACTTAGTTCTGGGCTCCTATTGTTTCTCATAAGCTCGAGTCTTCCCTTTTCTGCCAGTGCTATTCTATTTTGGTACGTAAAGCTTTGTAGTAGATCATGAAGTTAGGCAGTGTGATGCCTCCAGCTTTGTGCTTTTTACTGGTTTGCTCTGGGTTTTCAGGATCTTCTGCCATTTCATAGCAAATTTAGGATTCTCAGATTGTTTTTCTAAGAATGGGTCATTGATATTTTTACAGGGGTTGTATAGAATCTGAAGATCACTTAGGTAGTACTGATGTCAGTGCCATTTAGACAATGTGTGTGTATGCACATGCACAGGGCCAAGAGACACTGGGTGTCCTCACCAATAGTGAGGTGCGCCTTAATGTCCAGACAGATTGCCTTCCTGGAAGCACTCGGAAGGTCCCCTTCCTTCTTGCTGTCTCTTCACATTTCCTCCCCTGTGAGCCCTCTGTGGTCCTCCAGATTCCCTGTCTTTTTGGGGGGTGGAGAGTTGCTGAGTTTGGCCTGCCTTTTTTAGGGGCGGGGAGTTGCTGGCTGAATGAGGATGGCAGAGGGAAACGAGCATGTCAGAGGAGACTGGCATCATCCAAACGGAACTTGGCAGCCCTGGGAGAGTCATTCTGGGAGGATGCAGACCTAGAGAGGCCTCAGGTGGGCATCTGTGTGGAGGGTGAGAGAGCCCTGGTTGAGTCCAAGCTGAACCCCAGGTAGTAAGTAGCAAGTCTCAGGACAAGGAAGGGAGCTAGCAAGGGCTGATGAGGCAGCTATCTCTTGATCCTGGCTTCTCACCCATTGACCTTAGCTACTTATGTCTATTAAGCAGATTAGGGTTCCCCCATCCTGAAACGTGGGTACTACAGTTCCCTGGTGGGCCTTTCTCCACCAGCCTATGATGGCCTAAGTTTGCTTACTGCAGTCTCCTCCTTGAGCCTTGGCTTCTCTATGTGTGTCCTACCTCCAAGACCCACAGGCCTCTCAACCCCCAGCCCTGGGCTGCTTCCCTGGCCTCTTCTCTGTTCCCTCTCTGAGGGCCTAACTCCCTTGGGTAGTGCTGCAGAATATAGAGCCACAGGCCCTGGCTGATGATCTGGTGGACTGGGCAAATTGGTCATGACAGGTCAGGTTCTGGTTCAAAGCCAATTCCTCTGATGCCAAGGAATGTCGAAGAAGGTCCTTTGCCATGATGCCCCATAGCTGCCCCACCTCAGCAATCGTGCCGTACCCTGGGCAGTCACAGTCAGCCAATCAGCTGAAGAAGCTCAGTTAGGTAGTGACCTGCGGGAAACTCGGGCTTTCACCTGCATGACCCTAGAACCACTGGACTGCAGTGGAGCCAGTCGCCCTGTATCCTGGAGAGAGAGGAGTCAGCAAGGCTCACGCCAGGCACGGCTTCCTGCATACTGTCCCCTCTAACATGCCGGGAGGCACTCCTCATTGAGGATACCAATGCAATACTCCTTACTGATCACTTCATTGCGGAAGTAAACGTTGTGATGAAAGGCAAACTTCTTCCTGACACTTGTACTCAGGATAGTTGAGTTCCTTCACCTGCCTGTCCAAGAGGGAGAAAGAGGACAGTCAAGGGATAATTTCATCTAGGTGGGCTGATGTGGCCTTGTAGCTGGGGTGAAGCATGCGTTTCCACTTCCCAGCTCTCGCACTGAGACACCACTGAGCCCCAGGAGAACCTCAACCTGACCAGGACCTTAGCACCCTCCTCCAGACCCAGGCTTCCCATCCTGACTTGCCAATCCAACATGTAGATTTGCAGGACTTCCTCATGGTTTCTGAGCTACTTGCTGTCATCAGAAATGATCATAACTTTTAAACTGTTGTTTATGCCAACCTAAATTTTTCATTTTTACTACCTCATGTTTTGGATGAGGCATGTATTTTTAAATTTATTTTCACCCTTATTGTACCTCTGTGATAAACTGCTTACTTACATTCATACCATAATTTTCTTTCACTTTTACTTCTCTGTTCCTAAAGATTCACTGAAACTAAGAATTCTATTTACGCTTGTATCTTTCAGCAACCATATGTCAGATAACAGTGCACATTACTGCAGAAATCACATATACAGGTCCAAAGGGAGATGACGAAGAAGAAAGCAAGCTTTAAAGTCTATACATTCCTAACACTGTATCAGAAACTCACAAATAACAATGAAATCAAAGAATGATCACAGCCAATTCCATTTCATACCTAGACTGAAATATAAAACTTCAAAAGAAAAGAAAGTTAAGAACTTTGGGTTTGTAAAAATTTTCCTATATAGATAAAATTATTGGTAACTTTGTCTCACTAGAAAACATAAACAAAAATCCACATTTTTCATATGTGTAAATATACATATTTTTATTTCCATCAGTTATGACATGCAAGCAAGTAATAAAGTGAAAATACAATAAAATGATATATGGAACTTCCTCAGTCTCAAAATATTACATTGAGACTATTAATTTTATGAAAACCATAAAGAATGCTTCATGAAATTATATTATACGTACTTTTTAGTATTTTACTTACATTTTAAATAATCAACAATTAAAGGGAATTTTTCAACATTATTGATTATGAATACCAATATTTTCCTTGAGTAATCCTGTTGAAATTAACTATTTTAAATAAAACATTAAAAAGAAAGTATATTAAATGATTTCAGCTTTTGATGAAGTCATACACCTGTAATTGTAGTAAGGTGAAGTATAACTTTCTCCTCATGATTAATCTTTTATAACACCAGTGTAGTTGTTTTCTCTGACACCAACATTGTGATATCTCAGGGCTTTACTGTATCCATACATTACATGCCTCCAGAGAGTAGGCTTCAAACATAATGAAAAATTATATTTGTGACAAAATTGTTGGAAAGGGAATGGTAAAATGGGAGAATAATTTCTAACTTTCTGACTGTTGGTCAATGGAATTATATATATTTAGATACAGACACGTATTTGCACACTGTAAGTTTGCCCTTGTACATATACATTTATATGAGATACCCATAATATATGGGTTGTGTAATCTTTTAATTAATCCACAATTGTATATGTGTGAAATTGGATAAGCAGTTACTGTTTCTTTACTCAATTTGATGGAAAGCCAAAAAAACTCTGTCAACATTCATTTCAATTAATCCAATACTGTTAACTACTGCTAGCTTCATTCTCCTTGTTCTCTTTTGTCAATCTGAAAGTTAATTCTCACTCTAATTCAACTCTCAGGGTGCGATCCACAAAAGACTTTCATCTTGCTGTCGATTGTGACCTCTAACTCCACCTCTTTCTTCCTATAGCAGTCCTACCTTTGCATATGTAGTAAACTTTGTACATAGTTAAAAGGATAAAAGTTCAGTGAAATGTCAAGTCATACTGTGAAATGTTCCATTGTTTCTATATCTCTAATTGTCCTTTCATGTTATAGAGGTAAGAAAAAAAATTCAATGTTTTTCTTAGTATCCAGTCTAATGCACTCTTTCTTCATAATATGCCAAACCCATCCCTTCAAGACATTGACATCTAAACATGGGTGAACATCTCAAAATCTCTTCTCATTAATAACCATTATGTTAATCACTATTGCCCACAACTGGAATCTGACTGTTAAATCCCCCAGTGGAAATTGCTGTAATGGCTCAAACTACTGGAATGTCTATTTTTTTACCTGAAAATATCTGATGAGCATATACATATGCTATGTAAATGAACATATTGTATATTAACAACATACCTTCACTAATAATAGGTATCCCAAACCTTTGAGCCAAACTGAGCTCAGATGCTCCCACAAACCAAGCTTTTTCCTGCACAGATTTCTTTTTATGTCAAAAAACCACAACTCCAGGCCGGGCATGGTGGCTCTTGCCTGTAATTTCCACATTTTGGGAGGCCGAGGTTGGTGGGTCACTTGAGATCAGGAGTTTGAGAACAGCCTGGGCAACACGGCAAAAACCTGTCTCTACCAAAAATATAAAACTTATCCAGGCCTAGTGGCACATTCCTGTAGTCCCAGCTGCTTGGGAGGCTGAGGCAGGAGAACCGCCTGAACCTGGGAGGCAGAGGTTGCAGTAAGCCAAGATCTCACTACTGCACTCCAGCCTGGATGACACAGCGAGACCCTGTCTCAAAAAAGAAAAAAAAAAAAAAAGACAACTGCACTTGTCCACTCGCTTAGGTAAAAAATACTGTAGTTGGCTGGGCACGGTGGCTCACGCCTGTATTCCCAGCATGTTGGACTTTGGAAGGCTGAGATGGGCAGATCACCTGAGTTCAGGACTTGGAGACCAGCCTGGCCAACATGGTGTAGCCAGGCCTCTACTAAAAATACAAAACCATTAGCTGGGTGTGGTGATGCATGCTTGTAATCCCAGCTACTGGAGAGGCTAAACCTGGGAGGCGGAGGCTGTGTTGAGCAGAGATCCTGCCACTGCACTCCAGCCTTGGCTACAGAGCAAGAGTTCCCTGTGAGAAACAAAGGTGAATAAAACAACAAAAAAAAAATTAGAAAAATAATACCCACTGCAAAAGTTTGCCACAGAAAAGATTAAACATTTCACCAACTTCTACCTTCTATAACGGAAGCCAAAGTTATTTGGACCAACCCTCCTGTATTAGTTCATTTTCATGCTGCTGATAAAGACATACTTGAAACTGGGAAGAAAAGGAGGTTTAATTGGACTTACAGTTCCACATGGCTGGGGAGGCCTCAGAATCATGGTATGCGAATAAAGGCACTTCTTACATGCAATGCCAAGAGAGAATGAAGAAGAACTTAAAGCGGAAACCCCTGAAAAACCCATCAGATCTCGTGAGACTTCTTCACTATCACAAGAACAGCATGAGAAAGACCAACCCCCGTCGTTCAATTACCTCCCCCTAGGTCCTACCTGCAACATGTGGGAATTCTGGGAGATACAATTGAAGTTGAGATTTGAATGGAGACACACCAAACCATGTCACTTCCCAAACAATTAAAAATTCCCAATAGAAGAAGCATTAATTATATCAAAAAGTGGTGGACCAAGAAGGAACTATTAGCCTCATATCTCAAGAAAGACTCCAGTCAAGGCCTAGGGACTACTCATGAAAAGAGTTTAATAGCCGACTCTCTCCCAGTGGATCTGGATTCCACCGGACTGTATCTTCACAGTAAGGGTGAAAGAGAAGCAAACCCATTCCTATTTCCAAGCTCAAGGAACTTTGGTCAAAGTTCTCTTGGAGCTGAGCAGAACAAGGAGGCAAACAGAAACAATTTGTGTCCCTGAGAAGTCATGGCCACAGGCTGGCTATCACACAGATTGTCAAGCCAGTTCCATATTGCATGGGTATTACAGAAAATCTCAAAACATAAATTTGTGTGTGTGTTGTCCCAGAGTAGCAGGATCTGGCAGAAGGAAATTTCCTTCTAACCCTCAAAGAATCCACATAAATCTTGTTACATTTGGGATTTTACCATTTGCTTCATGAATGATAATGGACTTTAGTTTTCATATCTTTTTATCCACTCAGTTTATGTCTTGTTGGCATCAAAGTTCTGCTTGCCTCACACAATGAGTTTAGGATTTTCCCTTTTTCATTCTATAGAATTCTTCATATATATTGAAATGCTCTGCCTGGGGAAAAAATCTGAGCCTAGTGTTTTATCTCTAGGAACAATCCTTTATTTCCTTGAACATGTATGAGATAATTCAGATTACATATGCCTTCTTGTATCAATTTTACTAAGCTATAAATTTATAAAATTCTATTTGGTCTAAGTTTTCAAATTTGTATCATAAAGTTTTAATCATATTTCCTTATTAGCTTCTTAATCTCTACTGTATCTATGCTTATGTATTTTTTAAATTCTTCATTTTATTTGTGCTTTTCTCTTTTTTTCTAACCTTGCCTGCGGTTTGCACCATTTATTACATTTTTCCAACAACCAAAGGTTGGCTTTGTATGTTTTACTAATTTTCTCTACATCATTATCCCCTCACTTTAGTTTTTCAGAATTGATTCTGTTGTTTCTGTTCTAATTCTTTCTTTAAATATCTAGTACATTAATTTTCAAGTTGTAGAAACATTTGTCTATGAACTCCTATTGCAATATCACTTTTCCTGCTACCCACAAATTTAATCTGTAATATTTGCAGTACCATTAATTTCTATTATGAATTTATATTATGATAATCCATGAGTTGCTGAGAAATAGCTGTTATAATTTTGTTGTTCAATTCCCATTTAATTTTATTTTAACTTGTGCTAACTCAGTTGAAAATTCTTTACTAATTTTTTAAATCTCATATCAAGACTTTTATTCACATCAATTGTTCTATAAATGCTCCCTCCTTGAAGAACACTCTCTTGTAGGCTGCTTCTCTGCAACAGTCTTGACTGGTTGCCTTCTAGGCCTGATTCAATTGTCTCATCCTAGGAATTTCATTCACTACGCTTTTAAGAATTTATTTCTCTTTTGTTGTGTCTCTTATTTTCTGCATTTCAGAATCTTTGTCTGTCTTGGTTTACTTCTTCCTTCTGGTTGGAAGAAATCTCTAGTAGTTTCTTGAGAAAAGTTTCACAGGGAGACAAAATTTCAGAGTTGTCATATTTCTGAGAAATGTATGTTTTCTCCTTGTACATTTGATTTTAGTCTATGTGGAAATAACAATGTATATCAGAAATCATTTTCTTTTAGAATTTTCAAATCAGAACTCCGTAATTCATTGCCTTCTGCTTTATAGTGGTGGAGTTGATTTTTTTTTTTTTATTTGAGATGGAGTTTCGCTCTTGTTGCCCAGAGTGGAGTGCAATGGCATGATCTCAGCTCATTGCAACCTTTACCTCCTGGGTTCAAGCAATTCTCCTGCCTCAGCCTCCCCAGTAGCTGGGATTACAGGCACGCACCACCATGCCTGGATAATTTTGTGTTTTTAGTAGAGACGGGGTTTCTCCCTGTTGGTCAGGATGGTCTCAAACTCCTGACATAAGGTGATTTGCCTGCCTTGGCCTCCCAGAGTGCACCTTGGCCTCTCAAAGTGCTGGGATTACAGTCATGAGACACCATGCCTGGCCAATGTTGAAAATTTTTAAATCATCTGATTCCTCATCCTTTGTACCTGACCTATTTTTACCTCTCTGGAAACTTACACAATTTTCTCTTTGTTCTCAGTGTTCCCAAATTTTACATTGATATATCTTGACATGAGTCTATTTTCATCTATTTTGCTAGGTGTTCACCTTTTAATCTATAAATAAGCATCCTGAAGTTCTGAGACTTTTTAATTATTTTGCCAACAATTTATTCCCCTTTGTTTTACTTATTTATTTTATTTCTATAACTCATATAATTAAAATAATTGGAAGAAATTATATTGGAGAAGAAGATAGCACCACACTGATTGTGTTTGTGTCAGACTATCACAGCTCAAGGTTGTCATGTTTTATTAAGGAGAAATGTTGTATTTCTTGGTATTCACATTGTAACCTGAAGAAGGGCAATGACTGTCAAAAATTTAAATGTATGGGTAATAGTTAGAAGATGCAAGCACTGTATCCTCCAGAATTTTAGCATATGCAAACCTTTAAATTCCAGGCAAGTTGACTTAAGCTTCAACATTCTCCCAGCTAAAATGAATCCATTTGTGCTAATTTCTGTGATCAAAGGTGAATAAGACATTGTTTCTGCCTTCAGTGATAGCTCAATCCAAAGGGAGACAAATAGAAATGATGTAAAAAGAGAGATATGTAGTCCATGCATGGTGGCTCACGGCTATAACCCCAGCACTCTGGGAGGGAAAGGTTGGAGGATCATGAGCTCAGGAGATTGAGACCATCCTGGCAAACAAGGTAAAACCCTGTCTCTACAAAAGATACAAAAATTAGCCAGGCATGGTGGCACATGCCTGTAGTCCCAACTACTTGGGAGGCTCAGGCAGGAGAATTGCTTGAAGCTGGGAGGTGGAGGTTGCAGTGAGCGGAGATCATGCCACTGCATGCCAGCCTAGGCAACAGAGCGAGACTCTGTCTCAAAACAAAACAAAACAAAACAAAAAAAAACCAGATACGTAAAGTGCTCTAAAAGCTGAGAAAAGGGACAGAATATCTGTGACAGGTAACTTGTTTGGGGCAGTTGGAAATACGGAGGTCTCAGTGTGTGCTTTCACTATGTCCCTAAAGGTGTTGAATGTGGAGTGCTCAAACCTCAAGCTTATAGCTTCATGAAGGAAAAATTATGTTAGAATGAGACAAAAAGCCCCTCAACCACTACATCAATTATTTTATTCCTGAATAACTTACAGCAGAATGTCAATCTTTAATGAGTAGAAATGCTTCTCAATCATACAAACAACTTAGATTCACCTGGGGAGTTAACAAAAAGCATCCCACATCTGAGATCTACCCTAGACCAATTATATCAGAATTTATGGGGATCAATGGATTCTGGATATGTGAGCTTTTGTAAGCTTGGCAGATAACTTTAATGTGCATTCAAAATTGAGAGCAACTATGTTAAGAACAATAATCCATGACAGTAAGTTCCTATCTACTCATCTGCCCTTAATTATATTACACTGTTCTCATGCAGCATGATACAAGTAAAAATTATTATTATTATTACTATTATTATTATTATTATTTTGAAATGGTGTCTAGCTCTGTTGCCCAGGCTGGAGTGCGTTGGCGCAACCTCAGCTCACTGAAACATCTGACTCCTGGGTTCAAGGGATTCTCCTGCCTCAGCCTCCCAAGTAGCTGGGATTACAGGCACCCACAAACATGCCCAGCTAATTTTTGTATTTTCAGTAGTGACGTGGTTTCACTGCATTGGCCAGGCTGGTCTCCAACTCCTGACTTCGTGACCCACCCACCTTGGCCTCCCAAAGTGCTGGGATTACAAGTTGAGCCACCGCACCCAGCCAACATTAATATTTTAAAATATTTAGAAATATATGTTGCAGGGCACAGTGGCTCAAGCCTGTAATCCCATCACTTTGAGAGGCCAAGGTGGGTGGGTCACTTGAACTGAGGAGTTCAAGACCAGCTTGAAAATATGGTGAAACCCGGTGTCTACAAAAAATACAAAAAATTAGCCAGGACTGGTGGTGTGTGCCTGTGGTCCCAGCTACTCAGGAAGCTTAGGTGAGAGGATTGCTCAGGAGGATCACTTGAGCTCAGGAGGCTGAAGGTGCAGTGTGCAGAGATTGAGCCTCTGCATTCCAGTCCAGTCTGGGCAACAAACTGAGTCTCTGTCTCATATATGAATGTGTGTGTGTGTGTGTGTGTGTGTGTGTATACATATACATGTATATGTACATATACATGTATATGTACATATACACACACATATACATATATAGGAAAGAGTGAAACTCCCTCTCATACACACACACACACACACACACACACACACACACATATATGCTTGGCCACTTTAATTCCTCTACAATGGAATTCTGAGCAGCATGCTTAAGGGTCAATATCAGGAACTGCAGGTAGTCAGCCTGTGCTAGAAATATTCAGAGTGGGATTTTTCACATTATACAGTTTCATCTTCTGAGTGTACTTCCTGAGGCTATTGTTCTCTTCATATCTTGCAGATCTTTCTGTGCAAAAGGCCACATGCACCAACAGTTTTTTTTTTTTTTTTTTTTTGCTAAGGGTCTTCTAATTAATTGGAGGACTTCAGTCGAAAAATTTCTAAGGACAAGATTTTTCCTCTTTTGGCTCAGGAAACTGCAGGCATCAGTTACACAACAATATTTAACAGTAGCACAGCTAATAAGTCATATCCATTGCCTTAAACAAAATGTACAGAATTCAGTATTTTTAGTTACACACAAACACTATATAGGGTTTGCAATTAATCATTTTTATATTCTATATTCTCTCTGATACTGAACACAGAACTTCAAGAAGAGTTTCACACAATGATTTATTCAGTAAATATGCATAGAGTTGCATAAGTACTGAGATTAGAAAACATACCATGTATCTGCCCTCATCATGTTCTCATTCTATTAAATGCTGTAATAACACAACGTTGAGTCATAAAAGTTTCGAAAGAGAAGTACACACACAAAAAAAGCTAGGCAAATACATGGAACATTATGATCACTTAGAGCTGGTATCAGTTAAAGCCAGGTCTTCAAGACCCAGAAATGCCAGGATAGAAAGTATAGAACAAACTGTGTACACAAAGGCAAGTTTTTGTTGTTGTTGTTTTTGTTTCATAGGAAAATAAGATCAGAGTTTCACGAAGGTTGTAAGACTAATTGCAATATATAGGATGGGTTGAAGATCAGCAAGAGAAGACAGAAGGTGAGTTATGAGTTTTATTAAATGGTTAAACTAATAGATGATGGTGAACTGGGCAAGGAAAGTTGAAGCAAGGACTGGAAGAAAGAGACAGATGCAAGAATCATTGCAAAGATAAGGTACAAAAGTCTTGGCATGAGTTTTCAAGTTGAGGCTAGTAAAAAATATTGTGGGATTCTTGGCATTCATCTATCCATCAAATTATTCAAGGAATCTTTATTAAGATTCAATATTATTATTAATCTTTATTATTATTCAAGATTATTAAGATTTATGATTCATTGAATAATAAATATGCCATAAATATTTATTACTATGCAACAAGCACTGTGCTGGGTTCTGGAGGTACAGCAATGAATATGGGGTTAATGGTCCCTGACTTCATAAAGCTTTATTTACAGGGAGAGACAGATAATAAATAAAAGACACAAGCAGTTGTAAATGCTGTGAAGGAAATTTTGGGATTTTGAAAGAGTGTAACAGACAGTAGTGATGGTTGGTATAACAGACAGAACTACTGTATATTGGGCACTAAGTGAAGCTTTCTCCAAAGAAGTCTTTTGTGAGATATCAGAAAGAGTAGCCATTGAAAAAGAGGGAAAAAAATCTGCCAAATCTCTAAAATAGGACAATTTTGGAATAGTTCTGTGTTTGAAGAACAGAGAGTTGCTAATGTGCAGAATAATGCTGAGAATTTGACTAAGAGGAAAATGGTAAAGTAACCAGCAGTTTTCATAGTACAGATGGGAATTCTGTCCTTGATAAAAGTAGTTCCAGTGGAATGAGACCAAAACCAAATTGAACTGAACTGAAAAGCCAGTGGGAAGAAACGAGGGAAGTGGGTACAGCGTGCTCAGTGGAGAAAAGTAATGAAGGGGTAGGTGGCCGGGGGGTAAACAACGGGAAAAATTCTAATTTATAAAAGCAATGTAAGAATTTAGATCGCAAATGTATATGTATACTGAGTTGGTAGAGAGGGAGGGATTAACATACATGAGAAAATAAAATTGAGAGCAGTGGATTGCGGTTTCTAGCACCTACAGTGCACTCTCACTTTGCCTGTGAGTTGGATAAGTGGCTGAAAGCTGATTCTTTTTCAAAGTTGGTTTCTGTTTGGGAAAGAAGGGAGTAGGGAACAACATGACACTGTACACTGCATAGCAAAATAAGGATATTGAGTACATAGGGAAGAAAGAGCTCAGGTACAAGAAGATCTTGTTCCTCAAACCACATGCTGCCTACTTTCTAGTCTAGCTTCACATTAGCCCTACTCCAGTTTCCAAAAGAACAATGATCGTTTCATTTAATCTAAGAGCATTTACATATCCCATCATATACATCTGTCATCTAAAAGAAGAAGGAGTATTTTAGGACTACAGATAAAAATAATGTAATATTAAGATTAAAATCAAATAACAAATCTAGCTTCATTGAAAGTCTGTCTATACTGATATCTTATTTTTTTTTTAATTCTGCCAAGTATTAGTGAAAATATTCTCCCAGTCTTGTGTCTGTCTGGAAATCAGTATTGGGAAATCACTAGACTGATTGCCTTATGAAATTGCTTCCAATTCAAATTCTATAATTCAGTTAATAATTAGAAAACATATCATATTTGAAGTAAAATAATTTCCTTTTTTATCTTCCATTCAAAAATCTTACAAATAAGTCTTCCTTTCCCAAGTGACCCTTGCAGTACTGTCAGCTATATAGAGATCTAAAGCAGCACTTTGCCACCTTCATCAGTTTCAAAGGCCTATCCTCCCAACTTTTCAGAGAGCCCACAGCATTTACAATAAACATATCTCTCTGCACAACAGGCAATAGCTGCTTCAACTGTTCTCTGTCAGCCTGAATGTTGATTAAGACCTCAGTAATCACACTCCACTCTGCACAAATCTAAAATCACAAATGCAGATTAATTTATGAGAACAGAAGGAAAGGATTGAAAGAAAAAAAAGGCTGTCTTGCTCAAACAAAGGAAGACACAAAAGAAATCCCACTGCCTACCTCATTTGTATATTTTTGTTTTAAAAATGTTCAAGCATCCTAGTATTTTTTAGCACTCTTAAAGAGACAGTTAAATATTGCATCAAATAAGACATGTAAAAAGATGACATGTTGTTAACAGGTGGACTCTAAACATGAGAATTTTCACTGGCTCACTGAGACCTCTGATCTGCAGGCATATGATTGATGACGCCTTTCTAATTCCAATAGCATGGGCCTGCAGCGAAGTTTATTTTACTGCAAGGTCTACTTTATTGAATTCACTGCCTGTCCTAATTCTATATATTTCTGATTAGCTGACCTTCAGAACTGATGTTAGTAGAGGAAAATTGTTTTCTGATGTGCTAACATTTTAAACCTAATCATTCTTTTAAATAAGCAATTTGAGTTTGCAGCATTCTGCTCCTGTTATGTTTTATTAGTGTTTGTGCTTTAATTTGGTATGTTTGTTTTGGAATCACTCCAGCAGTAGGTCCAATTATAAAAATAGAATCAATTAGATTCACTGTGGTGTCTGATATAAGCATTCCAAGCTTAGCTTTTAAAACAAAATGGTAGACTTGGCTGTTTCCAGAGTCCTGCAAATAAAATGTATTGATTCTGCAGGGCTTTCTCGACTGTAGCTTTTTGAAATTTTGTTCCCACTCTTCACATGTCCAAATCCACAATCTCCTAAACAGCTTTTATTGAGAACCACAACCTCATCTCCTCCTTTTTCGAAGCAATTAAGTCCATCTAGCTGGAGAGCCCAAGTACAGTTTATTTTCCTCTTTAAAATCTCTCTCCAGTGCTTTCTACACTGCTGTCAAGTAATAAGGGCCTGAATAAATCTTCCTTAAATGACAGGTTGAATGAATTTGTCCTCTCTTTTCTTTTCTCTGACTTGCACCAAGAGAAATTTCAGTTTTCCAAGACTAAACTTTGTCAGTGATGTAGAATTTATCTGATTCTTTCTACTCATGCCTTCTTCAAGACCTTGATTCATCATGTATTTCTTCTTAGTCTAACTGTCTTTGGTATTCATTTCTTCCTTGGCCACTGAGTGGCTTCCTAATAATGCAGACAAATGTCTCAGTTTTGTGGAAAAGGTCTGAAGGGAATGGTGATTTGGACAAGGCATCTGCATTGGAATACTAGTTTGGTTGGCAATATCCTGTTGCTTTACATCTGCATGGCAGAAATAAAACCATACACTTGTGTGGTTTCCATATCTGAGTTTTATCTTAAAATAAAAAGGTAAAAATAAAAACAAACAAAAAAGACACACACCAAGGACAAGAGGTTTATTAAAGCTGACGCAAATTAAAATAGAGACAAGACTTGAAGAATCTCTTAGAAGAAAAACAACAGTTAGGCCTCAGAAGTGACCTCAACCTTGCTTGATTTGCAAACATAAGCAAAACTTAAGTTGAGCTATTTCTTGTAAATGTTTATATCATAAATAAACCGAATGTAAACTCAACCAATCAGAAGCAGTTAACAAACTTATATAATCAGGACTTTCCAATGGGATAGATCAAATGAGGCAACTGTATAATTGTAAACAATTAAATGCCATCTGCTTTACTTTTGTGTGTGTTTTATAAAATTCTCCCCATTGTCTTCCCTTGATGGAACTCCTGAATGGCTTCTAGTTTGGAGCTGCTCAATTCAGGGAATATTTCTTGCTCAAACTCTTTAAAAATGTGCCTCAGTTTACCTGCTAACATTGGAAATGTTAGTCATTGGCTTCACAATGTGAACAATTCTAAAGGCTAGATAGTAACTCTTCTTGTAAGTCAAGCAATTTTCATTGCTTTGTTTTCAACAAAATTGAATGACTTGCAGTTGTCATGTGTATAGTTTTCAGTATTTAATTCATGAAGAATTCAAAGAATTGAGTGAAATTCCTTTAAAAATTCCTTCTTCCATTCCTAAATACATATTCATGGGAACAAAGTCTCTTTTTGACACTTCCATCCATAGAAAGAAAAAAATAAAAATTGAACCAATAATGAATCCAGCCTCACTCTGGCATTTAGTAATAGTTATCTATGCCTAAAATAGAGAATGAAAGTAAATGAGAAGAGGACAGGAACAATACCACGCATTTCATTAAGAAATGAGTTTTCTAGCAGTCTATCAATTTTGTTGATCTTTTCAAAAAACAAGCTCCTGGATTCATTGATTTTTTGAAGGGCTTTTTGTGTCTCTATTTCCTTCAGTTCTGCTCTGATCTTAGTTATTTCTTGCCTTCTGCTAGCTTTTGAATGTGTTTGCTCTTGCTTCTCTAGTTCTTTTAATTGTGATGTTAGGGTGTCAATTTTAGATCTTTCCTGCTTTCTCTTGTGGTCATTTAGTGGTATAAATTTCCCTCTACACACTGCTTTGAATGTATCCCAGAGATTCTGGTATGTTGTGTCTTTGTTCTTGTTGGTCTCAAAGAACATCTTTATTTCTGCCTTCATTTCGTTATGTACCCAGTAGTCATTCAGGAGCAGGTTGTTCAGTTTCCATGTCGTTGAGCAGTTTTGAGTGAGTTTCTTAATCCTGAGTTCTAGTTTGATTGCACTGTGGTCTGAGAGACAGTTTGTTATAATTTCTGTTCTCTCACATTTGCTGAGGCATTCTTTACTTCCAACTATGTGGTCACTTTTGGAATAACTGCAATGTGGTGCTGAGAAGAATGTATATTCTGTTGATTTGGGGTGCAGAGTTCTGTAGATGTTTATTAGGTCCGCTTGGTGCAGAGCTGAGTTCAATTTCTGGATATCCTTGTTAGCTTTCTGTCTCCTTGATCTGTCTAATGTTGACAGTGGGGTTTTAAAGTCTCCCATTATAATTGTGTGGGAGTCTAAGTCTCTTTGTCGGTCTCTAAGGACTTGCTTTATGAATCTGGGTGCTCCTGTATTGCGTGCATATATATTTAGGATAGTTAGCTCTTCTTGTTGAATTGATCCCTTTACCATTATGTAATAGCCTTCTTTGTCTCTTTTGATCTTTCTTGGTTTAAAGTCTGTTTTATCAGAGACTAGGATTGCAACCCCTGCTTTTTTTTGTTTTCCATTTGCTTGGTAGATCTTCCTCCATCCCTTTATTTTGAGCCTATGTGTGTCTCTGCAGGTGAGATGGGTTTCCTGAATACAGCACACTGATAGGTCTTGACTCATTATCCAATTTGCCAGTCTGTGTCTTTTAATTGGGGCATTTAGCCCATTTACATTTAAGGTTAATATTATCATGTGTGAATTTGATCCTGTCATTCTGATGTTAGCTGGTTATTTTGCTCGTTAGTTGATGCAGTTTCTTCCTAGCCTTGACGGTCTTTACAATTTGGCATGTTTTTGCAGTGGCTGGGAACAGTTGTTCCTTTCCATGTTTAGTGCTTCCTTCAGGAGCTCTTTTAGGGCAGGCCTGGTGGTGACAAAATCTCTCAGCATTTGCTTGTCTGTAAAGGATTGTATTTCTCCTTCACATATGAAGCTTAGTTTGGCTGGATATGAAATTCTGGGTTGAAAATTATTTCTTTAAGAATGTTGAATATTGGCTCCCAGTCTCTTCTGGCTTGTAGAGTTTCTACCGAGAGATCAGCTGTTAGTCGGATGGGCTTCCCTTTGTGGGTAACCCGACCTTTCTCTCTGGTTGCACTTAACATTTTTTCCTTCATTTCAACTTTGGTGAATCTGACAATTATGTGTCTTGGAGTTGCTCTTCTCGAGGACTATCTTTGTGGCATTCTCTGTATTTCTTGAATCTGAATGTTGGCCTGCCTTGCTAGATTGGGGAAGTTCTCCTGGATAATATCCTGCAGAGTGTTTTCCAACTTGGTTCCATTCTCCCTGTCACTTTAAGGTACACCAGTCAGACGCAGATTTGGTCTTTTCACATAGTCCCATATTTCTTGGAGGCTTTGTTCATTTCCTTTTCCTCTAAACTTGTCTTCTCACTTCATTTCATTCATTTGATCTTCCATCACTGATACCCTTTCTTCCAGTTGATCGAATCGGCTACTGAGGCTTGTGCATTCACCACGTAGTTCTCGTGCCTTGGTTTTCAGCTCTATCAGGTCCTTTAAGGACTTCTCGGCATTGGTTATTGTAGTTAGCCATTTGTCTAATTTTTTTCAAGATTTTTAACTTCTTTCCATGGATTCAAACTTCCTCCTTTAGCTCAGAGTAGTTTGATCGTTTGAAGGCTTCTTCTCACAACTCGTCAAAGTTATTCTCCATCCAGCTTTGTTCCATTGCTCATGAGGAGCTGCGTTCCTTTGAAGGAGGAGACACATTCTGATTTTTAGAGTTTCCAATTTCTCTGCTCTGTTTCTTCCCCATGTTTGTGGTTTTATCTACCTTTGGTCTCTGACAATGGTGACGTACAGATGGGGTTTTGGTGTGGATGTCATTTCTGTTTGTTAGTTTTCCTTCTAACAGTCAAGACCCTAAGCTGCAGTTCTGTTGGAGTTTGCTGGAGGTCCACTCTAGACCTGTTTGCCTGGGTATCAGCAGTGGAGGCTGCAGAACAGCGGATATTGGTGAGCAGCAAATGTTGCTGCCTGATAGTTCCTCTGTAAGTTTTGTCTCAGAGGACTACCTCGTCATGTGAGGTATCAGTCTGCCCCTACTTGGGGTGCCTCTGAGTTAGGCTACTCAGGGTTCAGGGACCCACTTGAGGAGGCAGTCTGTCTGTTCTCACAGCTCCAGCTGCGTGCTGGGAGAACCACTATTCTCTTCAAGGCTGTCACACAGGGACATTTAAGTCTGCAGAGGATTCTGCTGCCTTTTGTTTGGCTATTCCCTGCCCCCAGAGGTGGAGTCTAAAGAGGCAGGAAGACCTCCTGGAGGTCTCCTAGTGCGAGGAGTGGGCTCCACCTAGTGCAAGGTTCCTGGCGGCTTTGTTTACCTACTCAAGCCTCAGCAATGGCAGGCACCCCTCCCCCAGCCTCGCTACTGCCTCACCGTTTGATCTCAGACTGCTGTGCTAGCAATGAGCGAGGATCCATGGGCATAGGAGCCTCCAAGCCATGTGCGGGATATAATCTCCTGGTGTGCTGTTTGCTAAGACCATTGGAAAAGCACAGTATTAGGGTGGGAGTGACCCGATTTTCCAGGTGCTATCTCTCACCACTTTCTTTGACTAGGAAAGGGAATTCCATGACCCCTTGCGCTTCCCAGGTGACATGATGCCTCGCCCTTCTTCGGTGCACACTGGGTCCACTGCAACCACTGTCCTGCACTGTCCTGCACACTCCCCAGTGAGATTAGCCTGGTACCTCAGTTGGAAGCAAGACTAATAAAGAAGAAAAGAGAGAAAAATCAAATAGAAGCAGTAAAAAATGATAAAGTGGACATCACCACTGATTCCACAGAAATACAAACTACCATCAGAGAATACTATAAACACCTATACGTAAATAAACTAGAAATTCTAGAAGAAATGGATAAATTACTTGACACATACACCCTCCCAAGACTAAACCAGGAAGAAGTTGAATCTCTGAATAGACCAATAACAGGCTCTGAAATTGAGGCAATAATTAATAGCTTTCCAACCAAAAAAAGTCCAGGACCAGATGGATTCCCAGCTGAATTCTACCAGAGATACAAGGAGGAGCTGGTACCCTTCCTTCTGAAACTATTCCAATCAATAGAAAAAGAGGAAATCCTCCCTAACTCATTTTATGAGGCCAGCATCATCCTGATACCAAAGCCTGGCAGAGACACCACAGAAAAAGAGAATTTTAGACCAATATCTCTGATGAACATCAATGCAAAAATCCTCAATAAAATACTGGAAAACTGAATCCAGCAGCACATCAAAAAGCTTATGTACCATGATCAAGTGGGCTTCATTCCTGGGATGCAAGGCTGGTTCAACATATGCAAATCTATAAACATAATCCAGCATATAAACAGAACCAACAACAAAAACCATGTGATTATCCTCAATAGATGCAGAAAAGGCCTTTGACAAAATTCAATAATGCTTCATGCTAAAAACTGTCAATAAATTAGGTATTGATGGGACATATCTCAACATAACAAGAGCTATCCATGACAAACCCACAGCCAATATCATACTGAATGGGCAAAAACTGGAAGCATTCCCTTTGAAAACTGGCACAAGACAGGGATGCCCTCTCTCACCACTCCTATTCAACATAGTGTTGGAACTGCTGGCCAGGGAAGTCAGGCAGGAGAAGGAAATAAAGGGTATTCAATTAGGAAAAGAGGAACTAAAATTGTCCCTGTTTGCAGATGACATGATTGTATGTCTAGAAAACCCCATCGTCTCAGCCCAAAATCTCCTTAACTCATAGGCAACTTCAGCAAAGTCTCAGGATAAAAAATCAATATGCAAAAATCACAAGCATTCTTATACACCAATAACAGACAAACAGAGAGCCAAATCATGAGTGAACTCCCATTCACAATTGCTTCAAAGAGGATAAAATACCTAGGAATCCAATTTACAAGGGACACGAAGGACCTCTTCAAGGAGAACTACAAACCACTGCTTAGTGAAATAAAAGAGGATATAAACAAACAAATGGAAGAACATTCCATGCTCATGGGTAGGAAGAATCAATATCATAAAAATGGCCATACTGCCCAAGGTAATTTATAGATTCAATGCCATCCCCATCAAGCTACCAATGACTTTCTTCGCAGAATTGGAAAAAACTACTTTAAAGTTTACTTGGAGCCAAAAAAGAGCCCACATTGCCAAGTCAATCCTAAGCCAAAAAAACAAAGCTGAAAGCATCACGCTACTTGACTTCAAACTATACTACAAGGCTACAGTAACCAAAACAGCATGGTACTGGTACCAAAACAGAGATATAGATCAATGGAACAGAATAGAGCCCTCAAAATTATGCCACATGTCTACAACCATCTGATCTTTGACAAACCTGACAAAAATAAGCAATGGGGAAAGGATTCCCTATTTAATAAATGGTGCTGTGAAAACTGGCTAGCCATATGTAGAAAGCTGAAACTGGATCCTTCCTTACACCTTATACAAGAATTAATTCAAGATGGATTAAAGACTTACATGTTAGACCTAAAACCATAAAAGCCCTAGAAGAAAACCAGGCAATACCATTCAGGACATAGGCATGGGCAAGGACTTCATGCCTAAAACACCAAAAGCAATAGCAACAGAAGACAAAATTGACAAATGGGATCTAATTAAACTAAAGAGCTTCTGCACAGCAAAATAAACTACCATCAGAGTGAACAGGCAACCTACAGAATGGGAGAAAATTTTTGCAATCTACTCATCTGACTAAGGACTAATATCCAGAATCTACAATGAATTCCAACAAATTTACAAGAAAAAACAAACAACCCCATCAAAAAGTGGGCAAAGGATATGAACAGACGCTTCTCAAAAGAAGACATTTATGGAGCCAAAAGACAAATGAAAAAATGCTCATCATCACTGGCCATCAGAGAAATGCAAATCAAAACCACAATGAGATACCATCTCACACCAGTTAGAATGGTGATCATTAAAAAGTCAGGAAACAACACTTGCTGGAGAGGATGTGGAGAAATAGGAACACTTTTACACTGTTGGTGGGACTGTAAACTAGTTCAACCATGTGGAAGTCAGTGTGGCGATTCCTCAGGGATCTAGAAATAGAAATACCATTTGACCCAGCTATCCCATTACTGGGTATATACCCAAAGGATTATAAATCATGCTGCTATAAAGACACATGTACATTTATGTTTATTGGGGCACTATTCACAATAGAATAGAATTGGAACCAACCCAAATGTCCAATAATGATAGACTGGATTAAGAAAATGTGGCACATATACACCATGGAATACTATGCAGCCATAAAAAAGGATGAGTTCATGCCCTTTGTAAGGACATGGATGAAATTGGAAACCATCATTCTCAGCAAACTGTTGCAAGGACAAAAAACAAAACACCGCATGTTCTCACTCATAGGTGGGAATTGAACAATGAGAACACGTGGACACAGGAAGGGGAACATCACACACCAAGTCCTGTTGTGGGGCGGAGGGAGGGTGGAGGGATAGCATTAGGAGATATACCTAATGTTAAATGACGAGTTAATGGGTGCAGCACACCAACATGGTACATGTATACATATGTAACTAACCTGCACATTGTGCAGATATACCCTAAAACTTAAAGTATATATATATAAAAAAAGAAACATATTTTCTTTTTTTTCTATTCTGTGTGTGTGTGTGTGTGTGTGTGTGTGTGTGTGAAATGGAGTTTTGCTCTAGTTGCCCAGGCTAGAGTGCAATGGCGCAGTCTTGGCTCACTTCCACCTGTCTCCTGGGTTCAAGCGATTCCCCTGCCTCAGCCACCTGAGTAGCTGGGATTACAAGCATGTGACACAATGCCCAGCTAATTTTGTATTTTAAGTAGAGATGGGGTTTCTCCATGTTGGTCAGGCTGATCTGAAACTCCCAACCTCAGGTGATCCACATGGCTTGGCCTCCCAAAGTGCTGAGATTACAGACATGAGCCACTGTGTACAGGCATGAGCCACCGTGCCCGGTCAAGAAATGTATTTTAAATAAATATTAACATTGTGTGTTTAGCATTTATTTTCCAAAAAAAACTTAACATACTCTTTTCAATCAATTCTATGCTCTATTAATTGAAACTGGCAAGTATGTTTATCAAAACAATAAGGGTAGTTTTTTTTGTATTGTTGCATTTCATGTGTTTTTTTTTTTTACGTCCTTCTTTGTACTTTTTGTATTTCTAAATCCTACAGTGGGCACATATCATTTTTCACTGAATAACGCAATAAGCTATTAATGTTATTAAAAAATACTTTCCCTTGAAAACACCTCCCTAAAGCTATTTATCTTTTCTCATGTTTGCTTATCTCCTTTTCATCATTATTCACTCATCTCATTTTCCACAAGAATCCTGCCCCGACTACTCCACTGAAAATATACTCTTCAAGGTCAACCTGATCATTACAAAATCTTCTTTCTTTACTTCCTTTGACAACTCTCCACAAAATTCAGTATAGTCAAGTTGACTGAGCCTTGCAAAGTGTGTCCCTTGGCTGTTCACTCCCTTCTTTTCTTTCCCCTTCTGCTGGCATCTTCTCTCTCTCTTTGATTGGCTTTATTATGTCATCTGCTAATTGTGAAATGTAAACCCAAGCCTAAATATTTAGGATACCACTAGCTATGTGTATCCAGGTCAGTATATCATGGTTGAATAACTTTCCAGCCTGCATTCACTATTCAGAGTGTTCCCTGACCTTGAGTCATAGTTCCATAACTGCCATTTTCAGTGGGATATCTTAACACCACCTTAAACCCAACATGTCTAAAACCACATCTGTTGCTCCAAGTCAGTTTTCCCTCTAGACCATACTTGTCCTGCCACAGAACGAGGTCACAACTTCATTGCTTTTGCAATAGCCTTTCAGAAAAAAAACAAGAAAAAGCCACAAAGTGATCTTCAGCTACAGTAGAAAGATGAAAACAGAAAACACAGAAATCTGAATACAAGTATATTTATTTTTCAAGAAGATTTCATAGAAGGAATCAGACCAATATATTACTATGTTAGTTTAAGCATAGCCATAAAAGTAAATTTGGCTTTAAATTTGGAGTCAGTCAATCTCTGGAGAGAAATGTGTTCATTACCAATATTAGCAGCATTTTATCCTCCAAGTCATTTGGGTTAAAAATCATGGGGAGGTACAATTCTCTGTTTTTAACCCTTATATTCAGTCTTTTGCCTACTCTTGTCAAGTATTTTTGAATGTCTTTTGTTGTTTGTTACATTTGTATTCCCACAAAATACCTAATTCAGGTCATGTTCACCTAACATTAAGATGTTACAACACTCAAACTCTTAACTGATACACTTGACATCCATTGTCTTCCATATTCTGTTCCTGTTTGTATAAATTCAACCTGCTTTAAAAGTTATATTTGGTAGTTGATGACTATAAGAGAGAGACTGTAAACCTGAGTTTTCAAGGTGTATAAAATCTGATCAGAAGCTGGTTTCCAATCTAATCCACAACTATATTTTTTCACAAACTATGTCTAATCAGCTTTGATAAATGCTAAGTATGAAGGAAATAAAAATGGTGCATACATAGTTAAGGAAACAGCATATTGGAAGCAGAGGTTAGGTAGAATCTAGTGAATGTCGCAAATAAGTAGAGAGCCTAGGACAAATGTTTAGAGGTTGAATTAAGTAGGAGCCAGTAAAGGAGAGTGATAAAGAGAAGTCAGTGAGGTAGGAAGAAAACAAAGTTAAATGAGACATTACAAAAAACAAGGGAAGAAGATGTTCAAACAAAGAGAAAATGACTAACACTTTAAGAGTGATAGATGACCATTAAATTGGAAATATGGAAGTCACTGATGACTTTGACAAAAGCGAGATCTATGGAGTGGACAGATAGAAATTTGGAGTGGTTTAAGGAGTGACCAGAATTTTGAGAAAAAGAAACAGTGAGTATTGACAACAACTCTTTTTTTTCTTTTTCTTTTTCTTTTCTTTGTTTTTTTTTTTTTTTTTTTTTTTGAGATGGAATCTTACTCTGTCACCCAGGCTGGAGTGCAGTGGTATGATCTTGGCACACTGCAACCTCCGCCTCCCAGGTTAAACCAATTCTCCTGCATCAGTCTCCACGCCTGGCTAATTTTTGTTGTATTTTCGTAGTTTTAGAAGAGACAGGTTTCACCATGTTGGCCAGGATGGTCTTGATCTCCCGGTCACCCACATTGGCCTCCCAGAGCTCTGGGATTGCAAGTGTGAGCCACTGCCACTGGTCAACAACTCTTATAAGAGGTTTTGCAGTGAGGAGAGCAGATAAATTAGACTGCAGATAGAGATTTAGGGTGAGTAAGTATTTTCTTAAATTATTTTGAAGATGGTATTATTTTAACATATTTGAGTGTTAACAGACATGATCCAATACAGGAGAAACTGATGTTGCAAGAGAAAGGTGGTACAACTGAAAGAGCAAAATCCTTGGGAGGTGAAGGAGAATGGGACCCAGTGCAATTGTGGAGGGACTGCCCCATCATAGGAATGGGGACACTTTTTTGGTTTGAAGTAAAGAAAATGGATATATTAACATGAAGCTTGGAGATGTCACAGTCAAAGATCGAGCAGGTTTCTTTTCATAGCTTCCTCCCATTTTCTCAGTGAGGTGTACAGCTGGAAATAAGGAGAGTGAGACAGGTGGGTATATAAAGTTTAAGGAAAGGGAAGATATGAAAATGAGTTACAGATATTGAAAAAGTGAACTTGCATAGAAAAACAGTGGAAACTCCAGAAAGTATTGGCACCTAATTTGAGTTTTGAGAGCATTAAAATTAAACTAGGGGGGCTGATGATTTGATTTTCTCCAGCTATGAAGAAAGGATAACTAATGTGCAGGGGAAAAATGGGACTCAACTTCATGATTTCTGACTCTAAGACCAATATTTTTTGTACTATACTATATTAACACTATTTTCTTTTAAATTCACTAGAAAAGTCATATCTCAGGTTATAATTGAGTAAAATATTTTCTTCAAATTAAAAAATATATATCCAAATGCAGGATGAGCAACAATACCTATGCAAATAAATTGAAGAAGCTTGCAACATGAAGCCATTTGTAGATTGTATGCTAATCAGCATACATTTCCCCCTGTAAATATCGCAAAATGTCCATATGCTCATGTTGCAAAAGCCCTCTTGGAGCCTTGTAAACAGGCCAGGGGACCATATTGTTAGGCAAGATCTAAACTCTTTCATTCTTGGCCACAAAGAAAGGGCAGCAGGCTGATAGCGCTAGAGGTAATTAGCACACCATTCATCTTGCCTTATGCTTAGAATGCCTAGAGGAAGCTTCCTATTATTGGCTGATGATAAAACAGAATCAGTCTCTTTTGCTCTCTGATTTAGTCATTTATCAATCAGCATTCTGCAGACCCATTGAGAAGCAAAGAATGTATACACATATACATGCTTATGTTTAAAATGTTTTATAGGGGGGAATACATGTTTTTTAGCAGTTGTTTGTGTGTGTGTGTGTGTGTGTGTGTGTGTGTGTGCTTGGCAACAGAATATAATGAAAAGAAAAGTGGGAGGGGTTGAGGGAAGTGAAGTCTGGATACTGAGTACAGCTATTCCTGGGGAGACAGAATGGTGTAAAATTAAAAGGATGGGCTCTGGAGTCAAACTTCTTGTCCTGAATCCTGGTTCTGACACTTTTTAGCCACATTGCCCTGGCCAAGTTACATACCTTTTCTGGACCTCAGTCACCTTATTTGTAACATATAAATAATAGTCATACTTAAAATAAAAAGTTGTTGAAAGAATTAAATGAGTTGATGTTTGAAACGCCAATATTTACCAGCTGGTGATCCTGGCAACATCATTTAAATTCTTAAGGTTCAATTTCCTTATCAGTAAAACCTCCAAAGCCTCCTCTGCTTTTGCAATTTGTTTTCTTTTCACAAGATTTTACATTTTCCGGTTTTTTGGCAACAGATTCAGGTTAAATAATATTGTATTAGTTACAAAATTTCCTCACAATTCTGTTACCTATACCAAAGTCCTCATCAGTGGCCAGATAAATTTATGACCATTAATATTTGATTCAGGAATGTCATATGTTGGCTGGATGCAGTGGGACACGCCTGTAATCCTAGTCTTTGGGAAGCTGAGGCAGGCATATCACGAGGTCAGCAGTTTGAGACCAGCCTGATCAACATAGTGAAACTTTGTCTCTACTAAATATACAAATAATAATAATAATAATTAGCCGGCTGTGGTGGCACTTGCCTGTAATCCCAGCTACTCAGGAGGCTGAGGCAGGGGAATGGCTTGAACCTGGGAGGCGGAGGTTGCAGTGAGCCGAGATCAAGCCATTACACTCCAGTCGGGGAAACAGGGAAGACTCCATCACAAACAAACACACAAAAAACAATGTCATATGTTAACCTGAAAAGCCGATGAGTCTTCCTAAGAATATATCTACATTAATATCCAATTTGGTTTGCATTCCTTGAGGCTTTATCAATGGAATCCAAGAAGTGTACAACTAATGAAGCTCAGTCTATGTAGTGGACTGCATGGAAGATGCCTCATCTACAAAGCTCAGAGGAATGATAGAATTGTCACTATCAACACACAGCAATTTGTCTACCTGTCATGTGTTTCCCTATACTTGCTTCATAATAGGGGTAGTCCTATGTCTTGTTCACTCTGCATTCTCTTGCCCAGAGCAGAGTCTGTGACACTAAATAGGTCTAAAAATTGTGTGAAAAGTGAATGAGGAAATGAATGGAGAAAAGTCTCACGTGACCATTTGTCTCGTCTTTCATTTACCTTGCAGCCAATTCTCATTATCCAAAACCTTTTAAGTAATGCTATAATAAACATTTATTCTGATAAGATAGAAGAAGAGTAATGCATACGTTTGAGTAATCAATTCCTGAGCAATATTCAGAAGGCTCACAAAAATATCTGATTATTTACAACACCTAAAGTACTGTCTTTGCCTATAGCATAAAATGTTGCTTCTTATAACAGTTTTGGTGCCCCCCCATCACTCACTTCATACACAATACATGGGGGCATGTGCACAAAGACACACACACACACATACACACAATTTCTTCAATAAAGACTCACTTCAGAAGTGATGAAAGACACATTGTTAAAATGGTAAGGAAGAAAGAAAAACAAAAAAATTCTGTTTGAGACTTAAGGCTCTGGGCTTCTGTGTGCCATATGGTAACTGAGCTTGGAACATAGCAAATACAGATTCCAAAAGATCACTTTATCCCTCTATTCTGTGATTTGTGCAGTCAAGCATGTTAGAAAGAATAAGTAACCAGAACAAGGAGCTGAGAGGCAAACAGATAGCAATTTACAATCAGTGAAGAGAATACTTTTCTCAGGCTCCAATATTATTATTATTATTATTATTATTATTATTATTATTATTATCATTATTATTATTTTAAACATATACTGCTGGGCAGAACAAACAAAATGCACAGATCCCAATCACAACAGGTGAAATCATGATGAAATAAGACCTTGAATCTTGGATAGAAAGAAGGTGGTCAACATACTATAAACAAGGGTGGGAGGTAACTCTTCAAGAATCATTTGGATATGGAAAGTCTGGAAATTATTTTTTATATACTTTTGTGGCTTCACTTGGCTTAACCATAAGCTTACAAATACTCAGGAGTCATTAACTTTGCAAATTGTTTGGAGGATTCTGAGGAGTTAATCCCGGAAGATAGTATAGTGTATCAAAAATCATTTACTAGATTTTTTTATTACATAGAAGCAAAAATAAATAAAATAGAAAAGAGGTTCCATGCAGTATAGAGGGTGCTAGACTAGGAGTCAAAAAAACTGGAGTCCAATCTTGGTCTAAAGTAAACTAATTGTCCTTCTCTTTTCTTTCTGTTTCTCATGAATTAAAAAAAAGGGGCGACAAAAGGATATGTGCATTCAATCAATTCCCTCCAACCTCTACCATCACTATTTTGAAAGTCTTTCCTATTTACAGGACATGTCTTAGTTTATAAAAAGCTCCATTATTGAATCCTTAAAACAGTACTGTTAAGAGTTATTATCCTCATTTACAAATAAGGAAGGAAAATCTCGGAGTGATTAACACATTTCCCCAAAATCCTCCTTCTAGAATGTTGTAAATCCAGTTCTCATATCAAATTCAATGCCCTTACAAGGATCCTATACTGACTCCTTAATACGATTTAGCCTAATATACATAGTATCTCTCAAAATTTAAACTATTATGTGACCCACAGAGAACAGGGCTTTAAAACAGTAATGGATTTCATCAAACTGGAAATAACTAATTTTAATAAAATATAAGGGTGAGGAAGATATTGGTCAAAGGATACAAAATTTCAGTTAGATAGGAAGGATAAGTTTAAGAGATCTATTTTACAGATAGCATGTTGACTGTGGTTAATAAAAACATTATATTCTTGTACATTGCTAATAAAATAGATTTTAAATATTCTTACCACAAAAAAGATAAATATGTGAGGTAATGTATATGTCAATTAGCTAGATTTAGCCATCCTACAATATGTGTGTGTTTCAGAACAATACGATGTACAAAATGAATATATATAATTTTACTCATCAATTAAAATAAATAAATGTTGAAAAATGAAATAAAAATAAAAAGCAGTTGGACTTTATATCACAATGTTTTTATATGATTATTTGAAAGCTCTGTAGCTAAAGCCTATCAGGAACACACTACAGTTGAACAAATTCTGTTTATTACTCATTACAGTAAGAGAGAATGTACACCATAGGGAACTGTTTTGTAAATTATGGGGGCATCTCTGTAGGAAGATAATAAAAGGACTTGTTATAGTGTTTGGATTTGTATTAGGTGATTTGGGAGAAATATTGAGGGATCAGAATTTTTCTCTGGATTGAATACTCTCAGGAAGTAAGGGTAATGTGATGATTAAGTATCTTAATACATCTTATCTATTGTGAGGGCAGTCTAAAGCAAGGGTAAAGTTGTAATTGGTAAAAGAAAAAAAGCAGTAACTTATATTAGTCAGAATAGTGAGACAACTGGTGAGTTTTCTGACTTGCACAATGTTCCTGTTCTGTCTGTGTTCAGACATGACTGCAGAGTGGTCTTTTTTTCGCCTTCATCTATCATGGTCACAGAGTAGCCTCATTTAATGCTGGTGTTCCTGAAATAGTAATACCAAGGCCTAGCTGTGAGTGCCAAGCCAGCTGTTAGCAACTGGGCATATCTTGTGAATGTCAGAAGCTGTTTTTCTCTTTCTCAAAACCAGTTAAACATTTTAGTTGAGTGATTTGCCCTGCAGCTGGTGGATGAGAAGGAGTTTTCCAAAAATGGGAAAAAACAGAACAAGATATGCCCTTTCTCAAAAGGCATGTTTTCAAACACTACTTCTATATGGCAAATTATTTCTTATACAAATGTAAAATATAAAGAAGAGACTATGAGAAAATACTTGCAATATGTATAACAAACAAATGACTATACAATTCTTTCTATAAATAAAACATCAAACAACCCAATAGAAAAATACAGCAACAATTCACAGATTAATAACTATAAATAGATAAGTAAAGATATTCAACTTTACTATTCATGAAGTAAATATAAATTAAAACAAAGAAGCAATTTTCTTCCATTTAATTGACGCAAAAAATGATGAGGGAATAGGAAATCCTAACATTGTTAAATGTGAACAAAGTACAAGTACTCTACAGGATATTTTGGCAATCTCTAGCAAACTTTAAAATGCGCATTAAATTTTTAAGAATTTTTCTTTTAGAAATCCTACATGTGCACAAAAACATGATTCAAAAATGTTCATTGTAGCATTTGTTAAACAGAAAAAATCGGCGAATAACATTGAACATCAAACAGAGAAGTACCTAAATTTAAAAATGATGTATCCATACTATGAAGTTATATGCCAGCAATTAAAATATTTATATAGATACGTATGGCAAATATAGAAGAAAAACAAAGATACAGATTTAGACAAGAAAATTAATCTACAGAAAGTGCTTTATATGTCATTTATATCAAAATATTTACATAGGCCAATTGCAGCAGCTTATGCCTATAATCCCAACACTTTGGGTGGCTGAGCCAGAAGGATTGCCTGAGTCCAGGAATTTGAGACCAGCCTAGGCAACATAGTGAGACCTCTTTTCTACAAAAACAAAAACAAAAAAGAGCCAGGTATGGTGACATATGCCTGTAGTCCCAACTACTCAGGAGGCTGAGGTGGGAGAATTGCTTGAGCCTGCGAGGTTGAGGCGCAGTAAGCTGAGAGCGTGCCAATGTACTCCAGCCTGGGCAACAGAGCAAGACCCTGTCTAAAAATATATATTTATATATTTGTAATATTTGCATATATGTGTATGAATATATATATATAAAGTATGTGTGTATATATATTTAAATGAATATAAAATTATCTGTAAGTGAGCATACCAATTGTGAGCTGATCTGTTTCCTTTGAAGACCAGGAATTCAGTTGAATTTTGCGAGAAAGAGGGTGGGGAGAATGGTAGAAATGTAAGTTTTTCTGTATATACATCTGTACTGCTTGAAATTTTTATAGGAATGTATTATTTTCATTACAAATAGTTAAATAATAGTATATTCTCTTAGGAAACATCTAGCTGAGATGGGATAACTTGTAATGCAGTTATCTTCCTGGTAGAAACAACTGAAAACACTGGACTGTATACATACATATATCAATGTTTTTAAGTGTTAGAAATTAGGTAGTGAAAGAGAATAATTCCTTAGAGGGTGAAAGCAAAATAAAGCCTTATGATTGTCCGGGCTTACTGCCTGAAAGGAGATTTTGGGCTGTATCATACAAAGGGAGAACCCAAATGGAATCCAGTAGCCTCCCTAAGTTGAGATGACAGAGCTAGGAGTCCAGAAAGGGAAATACAGCTAGAATTTTCAGGGAAGAATACAAGAGAAAAAAGACATGCACAAAAAATATGACAACTGCAGAGATTTGTTGAAGGTCCTCCTCAGCTCTAGTTGAGCACGAATCAGTGCATGAATGTGAGGAAACTAACCGAGGCTGGAGAAATAACTATCTAAAAACAGTAGAGAAAAAAATTCTTAGTGCTCAAACAGTTCATGTTCCCATAATTCAGAGTGAAAAACCTTGTACTTCACATGACATTAGGTAGGTTCCTCAGAGGGTATCGCCACAGTAGTGGAAAAAAAAAAAGCCCGAGATTAATACCTAGTCTGGTTCCAACAAAGTTCAAAAACAAGCCTTGAAAGAATCAATGTTTTGTTTTGTTTTTTTGTTCCAAGTAAACTTAAAGCATCTCAGATTTAAGTGTGAAAATAATATTAGAAGAAGAAAAACACCATCAAAAAAGTAAAATCCACATTTTCTGACATCAAATAAAAAATTACTAAGCATGCATGAAGCCAGGAAAATAAGAGAAAAGCCATTCAACAGGAAGAGGCCAGAAAATGGCACGTATAGAATAAGTAGACAATAATATTAAAATAGCTACAAATATTCTAACTCTATTATATATGTTCAATACATAAGAGGAAAGGTGGGCCGGGTGCGGTGTCTCACGCCTGTAATCCCAGCACTTTGGGAGGCCAAGACATGTGGATCACAAAGTCAGGAGATTGAGACCATCCTGGCTAACGCGGTGAAACTGTGTCTCTACTAAAAATTCAAAGAATTAGAGGGCCTTGATGTGACGCGCCTGTAGTCTCAGCTACGTGGAAGGCTGAGGCAGGAGAATCGCTTGAACGCGGGAGGCGGAGGGAGCAGTGAGCGGAGATTGCGCCACTGCACTCCAGCCTGGGTGACAGGAAAAAAAAAAAAAAAAGGAAGAGGAAAGGTTGAACATGTTAAGTAAACATATGAAAGACATACCAAAATCAAACTTCCGTGGATGTGAATTACACGTCTGAAATCAAAAATAAAATGGGTGGATATATAGCAGATTCAGCACTGCAGAAGAAAAGACCAACACTACAATTGAATTTTGTTCCCCCATATTAGTATGTTGAAGTTTCAAACCGCAGTGCCACAGAATGTGATATTATTTTAATATGAGATTCTTGCAGATGTGAGCTAAGATGAAGTAATTAGGAAAAGACTTAATCCAACACTACAATACTACTGGCATTTTAATAACCGGGAAATCTGGAGGTAGAGGCACATACCCAGGTAGAATGTCACATGAAAACAAAGGCAGAAAAGTCACTGAATCTAGCTAGGCAAGAGAGGTTGTAGATTCTGAGAGCCCTCAGAAGAAACCAACCTTGTCAACACCTTGATATTAAACTTCCAGTCCCCAGAACTGTGAGAAAATATATGATGTATAAGCCCCCTAGTTTGTGGTGTTTTACTATGGCCACTTTAGCAAACTAAAGCTACCATTAACATTGAAAACATTAGGAGAGTAATTTCCACATTAAATGCAAAGAGGAAACATTGTTTGAAAACAAAGCTAGAATACCTATATAATATGATAGGGTAGATGTCAGAGGCAAGAATATCACATGCAAAATGAGGGACATTGTAAACTGATAAAGGGAGAATTTACCAAGGAAATGTAAGAATTTAAAAATTTGATATTTAGGCATCCAAAATAACTGTGCTTCAAAATCAACATTGCAAAAATTAATAAAACTTAAAGGAGAAATAGGTAAATTCACAATTATAGTCAAATATGTCAATATTCCTCTTTTAATAAATGATAAAAGATTTGGAAAAAATCAGTAAAATATACAGACTTGAAAAACAATATCAAATAACTTGACTTAACTGACTTTGGTAGAACACGTGACACAACAACAGTAGAATATGCAGTCTTTTCGAGTGCACACAGAACATATACCAAGATAAGCCAGATGCAGGATCATTAAACAAGTCTGAATAAATGTAAAATGATTGAAGCCATACAAAGTACATTCGCTGACCACAATGGACTTAAACTAGGAATTAATATCAGAAAAAAAATGTCTAGGAAATTCCCAAGTATTTTAACACTAAATAGCATAGTTCCGGAGAGGAGATGGATCAAGGAAAGAATAAGATACAATTAGAAAATAATTTGAATTAAATGAGAGTGAAAAGACAACCTACCAAAATTTGTGGGACTCAGATTTAAAAATATTGGAAGGTAAATTTATAGCACTAAAATTTCTACGTCATACAAGATTGGTCTCAGCTGGGCGTGGTGGCTCATGCCTATAATCCTATCACTTTGGGAGGGCCAGGCAGGTGAATCACCTGAGGTCAGCAGTTCAAGACGGGTCTGGCCAACATGGAAAACCTGTCTCTACCAAAAATACAAAAATTAGCAGGGCATAATTGTGCATGCCTGTAATCCCAGTTACCTAGGAGGCTGGGACAACAGAATCACTTGAACCTAGGAGGCGGAGGTTGCACTGAGCCAAGGTGGTGCCACTGAACTGCAGCCTGGACATCAGAGAGAGACAAAAAAAGATTGCCCTCATAACAATGAGAGCATCTACATTTCTATATTGAGAAAATAAGACAAAAGAGCAAATGAAACCCAAAATAAACAGAATGAAGAAAATAAAATTAAAGTAGAAATGAAACAGAAAACAAAAATATACTAAGGAAAATCAATGTAATGAAAAGGTAGTTCATTGAAATGATTAATATAACTGATAAACCTATAGCCATATCAATGTGGAAAAAATATACACATTAGGAATGATAGAGGTGCCATCACTAAAGTTCTACATCTATTAAGTGGATAATAATTAAATGTCAAAAACAACTTTATGCAAATAAAAGCAACAACTGAATGACAAATACCTTGAAAAGACAAGCTACCAATGCTAACACAAAAATAAATAGATAAACCCAACACTATATCTAAAAACAGAAATGAAATTTTTAAACAAAACTTTCACACAAAGAAAATGTCTGGCCCAGATTACTTTGCATAAGAATTCTAACGAACATCAAAAGAAGAAATAATACCAACTCTACACAAAATCTTCTAGAAAATTAAAAGGAGAGAATGCTATCTATCTCACTATACAAGCCCAACATTACCTTGATGCCAAAGCTAGACAAACAAATTACAAGAAAATCACAAACTAATGTCCCCCATGAACAAATTCAAAATTTTCTAACTATTTTTTTACTAAAACAGTATGCAGAATGGATAAAATATCCATAATCAAGTGAGTTTTATGTAATGTTGAATTATCGTTAGAAAAATAATCAGTATCACTCAGCATCATTAAAAATTAACAGCCTATAAAAGAAAGCAAGACAATAGACACAGAAAAAGCACTTGACAAAATCCAACATCCATTCTTGATAAAATTAAACTTTCAGCAAATTAGCAATAAAAAGGTAATACTCCTATCTGATAAAAGGCATCTGTAATAAACCTACAGCACCATACTTAATGATAAAACGTTGAATGGTTTTCCCTCGAAGATAGAGAAAAAAATGAAGATATTAGTGCTGACTACTTCTCTTCAATGTTGTATTAGTGTTTCTAGACAATGTAATAATTGAAGAAAAAGATGTAAAATCTTTCTGGGGGGGAGGAGCCAAGATGGCCAAATAGGAACAGCTCCAGTCTACAGCTCCCAGCATGAGCGACGCAGAAGACGGGTGATTTCTGCATTTCCATCTGAGGTACCAGGTTCATCTCACAAGGGAGTGCCAGACAGTGGGCACAGGCCAGTGGGTGCATGCACTGTCCGCGAGCCGAAGCAGGGTGAGGCACAGCCTCACTCGGGAAGCGCAAGGGGTCAGGGAGTTCCCTCTTTCCTAGTCAAAGAAAGTGGTGACAGATGGCACCTGGAAAATCGGGTCACTCCCACCCAAATACTGTGCTTTTCCGATGGGCTTAAAAAACGGTGCATGAGGAGATTATATCCCCCACCTGGCTTGGAGGGTCTTATGCCCACGGAGTCTCGCTGATTGCTAGCACAGCAGTCTGAGATCAAACTGCAAGGCGGCAGCTAGGCTGGGGGAGGGGCGCCCTACACTGCCCAGGTTTGCTTAGGTAAACAAAGCAGCCAGGAACGTCCAACAGGGTGGAGCCCACCACAGCTGAAGGAGGTCTGCCTGTCTCTGTAGGCTCCACCTCTGGGGGCAGGGAACAGAAAAACAAAAAGACAGCAGTAACCTCTGCAGACTTAAATGTCCCTGTCTGACAGCTTTGAAGAGAGCAGTGGTTCTCCCAGCATGCAGCTGGAGATCTGAGAACTGGCAGACTGCCTTCTCAAGTGGGTCCCTGACTCCTGACCCCTGAGCAGGCTAACTGGGAGGCACCCTCCAGCAGGGGCATGACACCTCACATGGCCGGGTACTCCAACAGACCTGCAGCTGAGGGTCCTGTCTGTTAGAAGGAAAACTAACGAACAGAAAGGACATCCACTTTTTGATGGGGTTGTTTGTTTTTTTCTTGTAAATTTGTTTGAGTTCATTGTAGATTCTGGATATTAGCCCTTTGTCAGATGAGTAGGTTGCGAAAATTTTCTCCCATGTTGTAGGTTGCCTGTTCACTCTGATGGTAGTTTCTTTTGCTGTGCAGAAGCTCTTTAGTTTAATTAGATCCCATTTGTCAATTTTGGCTTTTGTTGCCATTGCTTTTGGTGTTTTGGACATGAAGTCCTTGCCCACGCCTATGTCCTGAATGGTAATGCCTAGGTTTTCTTCTAGGGTTTTTATGGTTTTAGGTCTAACGTTTAAATCTTTAATCCATCTTGAATTGATTTTTGTATAAGGTGTAAGGAAGGGATCCAGTTTCAGCTTTCTACATATGGCTAGCCAGTTTTCCCAGCACCATTTATTAAATAGGGAATCCTTTCCCCATTGCTTGTTTTTCTCAGGTTTGTCAAAGATCAGATAGTTGTAGATCAAAAAGTGGGCGAAGGACATGAACAGACACTTCTCAAAAGAAGACATTTATGCAGCCAAAAAACACATGAAGAAATGCTCATCATCACTGGCCATCAGAGAAATGCAAATCAAAACCACTATGAGATATCATCTCACACCAGTTAGAATGGCAATCATTAAAAAGTCAGGAAACAACAGGTGCTGGAGAGGATGTGGAGAAATAGGAACACTTTGACACTGTTGGTGGGACTGTAAACTAATTCAACCATTGTGGAAGTCAGTGTGGCGATTCCTCAGGGATCTAGAACTAGAAATACCATTTGACCCAGCCATCCCATTACTGGGTATATATACCCAAAGGACTATAAATCATGCTGCTATAAAGACACATGCACACGTATGTTTATTGCAGCACTATTCACAATAGCAAAGACTTGGAACCAACCCAAATGTCCAACAATGATAGACTGGATTAAGAAAATGTGGCACATATACTCCATGGAATACTATGCAGCCATAAAAAATGATGAGTTCATATCCTTTGTAGGGACATGGATGAAATTGGAAACCATCATTCTCAGTAAACTATCGCAAGAACAAAAAACCAAACACCGCATATTCTCACTCATAGGTGGGAATTGAACAATGAGATCACATGGACACAGGAAGGGGAATATCACACTCTGGGGACTGTGGTGGGGTCGGGGGAGGGGGGAGGGATAGCATTGGGAGATATACCTAATGCTAGATGACACATTAGTGGGTGCAGCGCACCAGCATGGCACATGTATACATATGTAACTAACCTGCACAATGTGCACATGTACCCTAATACTTAGAGTATAATAAAAAAAAAAAAAAAAAAGAATTTTAGTGAAATAACAATGTAAATGAAAACAATTGGAAATAATTTGTGCGATAGAGAAAATTATGGTCTTAAATTGACTTAGTCTTTTCCTCAGAAAGCATCTTCTCCAACAAAAATCCATTAGTGTTGTTAAAATTCCAATTAAAATGTTTCTACTCTTAAATACAAAAAAAAAAAAAAAAAAAAAAAAAGAAAGGACATCCACAACAAAAACCCATCTGTACATCACCATCATCAAAGATCAAAAGTAGATAAAACCACAAAATAGGGAAAAAACAGAGCAGAAAAACTGGAAACTCTAAAAAGCAGAGCGCCCCTCCTCCTCCAAAGGAACGCAGTTCCTCACCAGCAATGGAACAAAGCTGGACGGATAATGACTTTGATGAGCTGAGAGAAGAAGCCTTCAGATGATCAAATTACTCCCAGCTACAGGAGGACATTCAAACCAAAGGCAAAGAAGTTGAAAACTTTGAAAAAATTTTAGAAGAATGTATAACTAGAATAACCAATACAGAGAAGTGCTTAAAGGAGCTGATGGAGCTGAAAACCAAGGCTCGAGAACTACGTGAAGAATGCAGGAGCCAATGCGATCAACTGGAAGAAAGGGTATCAGCGATAGAAGATGAAATGAATGAAATGAAGAGAGAAGGGAAGTTTAGAGAAAAAAGAATAAAAAGAAATGAGAAAGGCTCCAAGAAATACAGGACTATGTGAAAAGACCAAATCTACATCTGATTGGTGTACCTGAAAGTGACGGGGAGAATGGAACCAAGTTGGAAAACACTCTGCAGGATATTATCCAGGAGAACTTCCCCAATCTAGCAAGGCAGGCCAACATTCAGATTCAGGAAATACAGAGAATGCCACAAAGATACTCCTCGAGAAGAGCAACACCAAGATATAATTGTCAGATTCACCAAAGTTGAAATGAAGGAAAAAATGTTAAGTGCAGCCAGAGAGAAAGGTTGGGTTATCCTCAAAGGGAAGCCCATCAGATCTCTTGGCAGAAACTCTACAAGCCAGAAGAGAGTGGGGGCCAATATTCAACATTCTTAAAGAAAAGAATTTTCAACCCAGAATTTCATGTCCAGCCAAACTAAGCTTCCTAAGTGAAGGAGAAATAAAACACTTTACAGACAAGCAAAAGCTGAGAGATTTTGTCATCACCAGGCCTGCCCTAAAAGAGCTCCTGAAGGAAGTGCTAAACATGGAAAGGAAAAACCGGTACCAGCCGCTGCAAAATCATGCCAAAATGTAAAGACCATTGAAACTAGGAAGAAACTGCATCAAGTAACGAGCAAAATAACCAGCTGACATCATAATGACAGGATCAAATTCACACATAACAATATTAACTTTAAGTGTAAATGGACTAAATGCTCCAATTAAAAGACACAGACTGGCCAATTGGATAAAGAGTCAAGACCCATCAGTGTGCTGTATTCAGGAAACCCATCTCACGTGCAGAGACACACATAGGCTCAAAATAAAAGGATGGAGGAAGATCTACCAAGCAAATGGAAAACAAAAAAGGCAGGGGTTGCAATCCTAGTCTCTGATAAAACAGACTTTAAACCAACAAGATCAAAAGAGACAAAGAAGGCCATTACTTAATGGTAAAGGGATCAATTCAACAAGAAGAGCTAACTATCATAAATGTATATGCACCCAATACAGGAGCACCCAGATTCATAAAGCAAGTCCTGAGCGACCTACAAAGAGACTTAGACTCCCACACATTAATAATGGGAGACTTTAACACCCCACTGTCAACATTAGACAGATCAACGAGCCAGAAAGTCAACAAGGATACCCAGGAATTGAACTCAGCTCTGCACCAAGCGGACCTAATAGACATCTACAGAACTCTCCATCCCAAATCAACAGAATATACAATTTTTTTCAGCACCACACCATACCTATTCCAAAATTGACCACATACTTGGAAATAAAGCTCTCCTCAGCAAATGTAAAAGAACAGAAATTGTAACAAACTATCTCTCAGACCACAGTGCAATCAGGATTAAGAATCTCCCTCAAAACCGCTCAACTAATTTTTGAAACCCTTCAAAAAATTAACAAATCCAGGAGCTGGTTTTTTGAAAGGATCAACAAAATTGATAGACTGCTAGCAAGACTATAAAGAAAAAAAGAGAGAAGAATCAAATAGACACAATAAAAAAAAGATAAAGGGGATATCACCACCGATCCTACAGAAATACAAACTACCATCAGAGAATACTACAAACACCTCTACGCAAATAAACTAGAAAATCTAGAAGAAATGGATAAATTCCTCGACACATACACTCTCCCAAGACTAAACCAGGAAGAAGTTGAAGCTCTGAATCGACCAATAACAGGAGCTGAAATTGTGGCAATAATCAATAGCTTACCAACGAAAGTCCAGGACCAGATGGATTCACAGCCGAATTCTACCAGAGGTACAAGGAGGAACAGGTACTATTCCTTCTGAAGCTATTCCAATCAGTAGAAAAAGAGGGAATCCTAAAGAGGGAATCCTCCCTAACTCATTTTATGAGGCCAGCATCATCCTGATACCAAAGCCAGGCAGAGACACAACCAAAAAAGAGCACTTAAGACCAATATCCTTGATGAACATTGACGCAAAAATCGTCAATAAAATACTGGCAAACCGAATCCAGCAGCACATCAAAAAGCTTATCCACCATGATCAAGTGGGCTTCATCCCTGGGATCCAAGGCTGGTTCAATATACACAAATCAATAAATGTAATCCAGCATATAAACAGAACCAAACACAAAATCCACGTGATTATCTCAATAGATGCAGAAAAGGCCTTTGACAAAATTAAACAACGCTTCATGCTAAAAACTCCCAATAAATTAGGTATTGATGGGATGTATCTCAAAATAATAAGAGCTATCTATGACAAACCCACAGCCAATATCATACTGAATGGGCAAAAACTGGAAGCATTCCTTTTGAAAACTGGCACAAGACAGGGATGACCTCTCTCACCACTGCTATTCAACATCGTATTGGAAGTTCTGGCCAGGGCAATTAGGCAGGAGAAGGAAATAAAGGGTATTCAATTAGGAAAAGAGGAAGTCAAATTGTCTCTGTTTGCAGACGACATGATTGTATATCTAGAAAACCCCATTGTCTCAGCCCAAAATCTCCTTAAGCTGATAAGCAACTTCAGCAGTCTCAGGATACAAAATCAATGTACAAAAATCACAAGCATTCTTATACACCAACAACAGACAAACAGAGAGCCAAATCATGAGTGAACTCCCATATACAATTGCTTCAAAGAGAATAAAATACCTAGGAACCCAACTAACAAGGGATGTCAAGGACCTCTTCAAGGAGAACTACAAACCACTGCTCAATGAATCAAAAGAGGATACAAACAAATGGAAGAACATTCCATGCTCATGGGTAGGAAGAATCAATATCGTGAAAATGGCCATACTGCCCAAGGTAATTTATAGATTCAGTGCCATCCCCATCAAGCTACCAATGACTTTCTTCACAGAATTGGAAAAAAACTACTTTAAAGTTCATATGGAACTAAAAAAGAGACCACATCACCAAGTCAATCCTGAGCCAAAAGAACAAAGCTGGAGGCATCACACTACCTGACTTCAAACTATACTACAAGGCTACACTACAGTAACCAAAACAGCATGGTACTGGTACCAAAACAGAGATATAGATCAATGGAACAGAACAGAGCCCTCAGAAATCACACCACATATCTACAACTATCTGATCTTTGACAAACCTGAGAAAAACAAGCAATGTGGAAAGGATTCCCTGTTTAATAAATGGTGCTGGGAAAACTGGCTAGCCATATGTAGAAAGCTGAAACTGGATCCCTTCCTTACACCTTATACAAGAATCAATTCAAGATGGATTAAAGACTTAAATGTTAGATCTAAAATCATAAAAACCCTAGAAGAAAACCTAGGCATTACCACTCAGGACATAGGCATGGGCAAGGACTTCATGTCTAAAACACTAAAAGCAATGACAACAAAAGCCAAAATTGACAAATGGGATCTAATTAAACTAAAGAGCTTCTGCACAGCAAAAGAAACTACCATCAGAGTGAACAGGCAACCTACAAAATGGGAGAAAATTTTCACAACCTACTTATCTGACAAAGGGCTAATATGCAGAATCTACAGTGAACTCAAACAAATTTACAAGAAAAAAACAAACAACCCCATCAAGAAGTGGGCAAAGGACATGAACAGACACTTCTCAAAAGAGGACATTTATGCAGCCAAAAAAACACATGAAAAAATGCTCACCATCACTGGCCATCAGAGAAATGCAAATTGAAACCACAGTGAAATACCATTTCATACCAGTTAGAATGGGGATCATTAAAAAGTCAGGAAACAACACTTGCTGGAGAGGATGTGGAGAAATAGGAACACTTTTACACTGTTTGTGGGACTGTAAACTAGTTCAAACATTGTGGAAGTCAGTGTGACGATTCCTCAGGTATCTAGATCTAGAAATACCATTTGACCCAGCCATCCCATTACTGGGTATATACCCAAAGGATTATAAATCATGCTGTTATAAAAACACATGCACACGTATGTTTATTGCGACATCATTCACAATAGCAAAGACTTGGAACCAACACAAATGTCCTACAATGATAGACTGGATTAAGAAAATGTGCCACATATACACCATGGAATACTATGCAGCCATAAAAAATGATGAGATCATGTCATTTGTAGGGACATGGATGAAATTGGAAATCATCATTCTCAGTAAACTATTGCAAGAACAAAAAACCAAACACCGCATATTCTCACTCGTAGGTGGGAATTGAACAATGAGAACACATGGACACAGGAAGGGGAACATCACACTCTGGGGACTGTTGTGGGGTGGGGGGAGGGGGGAGGGATAGCATTGGGAGATATAACTAATGCTAGATGACGAGTTAGTGGGTGCAGCACACCAGCATGGCCCATGTATACATACATAACTAACCTGCACATTGTGCACATGTACCCTAAAACTTAAAGTATAATTAAAAAAAATCTTTCCAGAATGAAATAAATAACACCGCTTATTAATAGACAATATCATCTAAATTTAAAAAAATGTTACAATCTACAAAAATCATCTAGAACTAATAAGTGGATTTTTCAAGGTTGTGGAATCTAAGGTCAGTATAAAATGATAAATCTATAAACTACACTAAAAATTAGAAATTAAAATTTTAAAACAATGCCACTAACAAACAAAAATATAAAATACATAATAATAAATTTGACAAAATCTATGCAAGAACTATATAGCAGAAACAACACAGTATTGTAAAGACAAATTAAAGAAAACCTAAATACAGTGAAGCATATTATTATGCATAATTGATAGGAGAAATATCATATATTGATATAGCATATGAATAATGGAAGGGGATAATAGGCCCCTTTTGGGTTCAGTAGGGGCTTATTGAGGGTTTGATGGCTGAATATTGTTATAATTTCAAATCTTCCACTATGTTATTAATAGAATCAATGTAATCTCAATCAGAAACCTAGCAGGCTTAAGAAAAAAGAGAAGCCAATTATAAAATGTATGTGGAAATACAAAGGAACTGGAATATCCATTAAAACTTTAAAAGTAAAAACACCACTGAAATACTAACATCAGATGATTTGTAGACTTGATTTTACAAATGGTTATCAAGACAGACACATATATCAATGAAATTGAATACTGAGTCCAGAAATTGACCCAGACCAAAATGGTCTGTTGATTTTTGACAAAGATCTACATAAAATTTGGTGGAAAAGGATAGTCATTTTTACAAATTGTGTTAGAAAAATTAGATATCCATATGTAAATAACAATTATAATTAACTTCAATCCACACCTTACACCATATATTAAAATTTAGTCAAGATGGAATTTAGATTTAGATATAACATCTAAAACTATAAAATTTCAAGAAGATAATGTGGAACAACATATTTATGAATCTGGATTTGGCATAGATTTTTTAAAATACAACAGAAAAAGTACAAAATATAAAAGAAAAAAGTCAATAACTTATATTAGTCTATTTGTGATGCTATACAAAATAACTTAGACTGGGTAGTTTATAAAGAAAGCAAATTAACCTTTTATAACTCCAGAGGCCAGGAAGTCCAAGATCAAGATACCAGAAAGTTTGATGTCTAGTGAGGGTTACACACTTTGTCTAAGCTATTACCTTGTTGCTGCATCTCCAAATGGGAGAAATGCTGTATTCTCATGTGGAAGAAAAGCCCAAAGGGCTTAAGTTAGTTCCTTCCTTCCCTTTTATAATGATCTGTCCCTCATGACTTAATCACTTCCCAAAAGGCCTCACCTTTTAATATCATCACCATGGGGGTGAATTTCAACATGTGAATTTTGGAAGGGACACATTCAAACCATAGCACTCTACCAGTGGTGGGCCAAAATTCATGTTCTCCTCACATACAAAAATACATTAATTCTATCCCAAAAGTGTTAACACATTCCAGCATAACTTTTAAAGTCTATATGCAAAGTCTGATCTAGAACATGCAAATATTATCTAAATCAGATATGGGGGATACTCAAAGTATGATTCATCTAGAGTCAAATTACCATTCAGAGTCCAAAATACCATTGGAAGATGGTCATGGGATAGGTATTCCCAATCCAAAAGATACAACTAGGTAAGAGGAAAGGGGTGATAGTTTGCTTTTGGTTTCAAAACAAAACGGGACGAACAACATTGTATCTTAAGGCCTGAGAATAATATTATTTGACTCCATGTCCCACATTCCAGACACACTTGAGTGAAGGTTGAGTCCCCAAGGCTGCAAAAAACTTTCTCACATTGATTTTTGGGGTACAGCCATGCCACAGCTCTTAGGGTTTGATTTAATTTGCCTGGAGCTCTCCCAGGCTGGCATTGCAGTAGCGGCTGTGCAGGCCTGGGGTCTTGGAGGTGACCTTCATCCAATAATCTTGGTAAACACTGCTCTAGTGGTGGCTATCTGCAGTATCCATGACCCCTTAGCTCCACTGGACATTTCCCCTGTCGAGATCCCCTTTGGTAACCCTGACCCCATGGCTCAACTGCGCATTGCGCTAGTGGAGGGAATGATATGGTTAGGCTTCCTGGTGTCCCCACCGAAATCTCATCTTGGACTGTAATCCCCATAATACCCACATGTCAAGGGTGGGACCAGGTGGAAGTAATCGAATCATGGGGGCATTTGATAATTAGTGAGTTATCATGAGATCTGATAGTTTTATAAGGGGCTTGATGTGGTTTGTTTGTGTCCCCACCCAAATCTCATCTTCAGTTGTAGTTCCCATTATCTTCATGTGTCATAGGAGGGAACAAGTGGGAAGTAATGTAATCATGGGAGTGGTTACCTCCATATTGTTGTCATGATAGTGAGTGAGTTCTCACCAGATGGTTTATAAGGGGCTTTTCCCCCTTTGCTCAGGACTTCTCCTTTCTGATGCCATGTGAGAAAGGACTTGTTGCTTCCCCTTCCATCATGATTGTAAGTTTCCTGATTCCCCTCCAGCCCCATAGAACTGTGAGTCAATTAAACCTCTTTCCTTTATAAATTATCCAGTCTCAGGTATGTCTTTATTAGCAGTGTGAGAATGGACTAACACAGGGCTCTTACCCTGTTACTCAGCACTTCTTCTTTCTGCTGCCTTGTGAGAAGGTGCCTGGCTTCCTCTTTGCCTTCCTCCATGATTGTTAAGATTTCCCCATCCATGTTGAACTGTGAGTCAATTAAACCTATTTCCTTTATATATTACCCAGTCTCAGGCAGTTCTTTATAGCAATATGAAAACAGACTAATGCAGGCATTCCGCAGTGGCCCTGATCCTGCAGTATTTCTCTGACTGGACCCCAAGTTTCTCTGGGGCATTCATTGAAAATTAGGAGGTATCCATGCCTCCACAGCTCATTTGCTCTGCGTGACTGCAAAGTTAGCACCACATGAATGCTGTCAAGGATTATAGCCTGTATCTTCCAGAGAACTTGCCCTTGCTGCAACTAAGCCCACTTGAGCCACAGCTGAGAATGCTGTGGAGCACTACATTGGAATGGGGGAAGCAGAGACTTGAGGTGGGCTTAGGCAGCAAACACTGAGGATCTTCAGGCATCCCGGGACCCTCCCTTGAAACTATTCTGCCCTCAAAGACTTAGTTCTTTGTGCCTGTGGTGAGAGAGGTAGCCTGGAAGATCTCTGTTTTGCCATCAGGATCATTCCTCCATTGTTCTGATAAAAGGAATCTGGCTTCTTCCTATCTATACTAATCTCCTCATCTAATGGTCACTTGGCCACACACTTGGTTTTGTCTCCTAAACATAGGTTTTTATTCTTTACTAGGCGAGGTTAACAATTTTCGAAATCTTCAGGGTCTTCTCCCCTTTTTAATTCCCTTAGAATTATAAATCTTTAATGTGTTTCTCTTTTATTGCATTTTACTATAAGCAGCTAAGCCATGCCATCCAGCACCCTGAACAATTTGTTTAGATATTTATTTCACCAAATATTCTAGTTCATCATTGTAAATCTGGCCTTTCTCTTTTTTTTTTTTTTTTTTTTTTTTTTTTTTGAGATGAAGTCTCAGTCTTTCACCCAGGCTGGAGTGCAGTGGCGCGATCTCCACTCACTGCAGGTTCCGTCCCCCGGGGTTCACGCCATTCTCCTGCCTCAGCCTCCTGCATAGCTGGGACTACAGGCACCCGCCACCGCGCCCGGCTATTTTTTTGTGTTTTTAGTAGAGACGGAGTTTCACCGTGTTAGCCAGGATGGTCTCGATCTCCTGACCTCATGATCCACCTGCCTCGGCCTCCCAAAGTGCTGGGATTACAGGTGTGAGCCACCGCGCCCAGCCTAAATTCTGCCTTTCACAAAACAGAACATGGAGACGAGTCCGGCAAATACTTTGCCACTTAGTAACAAGGATGGCATTTCCTCTATTTTCCAGTAAGATAGTCTTCATTTCCATCTGAGACCTCATCAGAATGGCCATTACTGTCCATATTTCTATGAACATTCTGTTCATGACCACATAGGTAATCTCTAAAACTGAGGCTTTCTCTATAGCTCTCCTCTTCTAAGCTCTCACCAGAATTGCCCTTAACAATCTATTCATGGCAATCTAAGCTTTTACTAGCCTGCACCTTAAAATTCTTCCAACCTCTACCCAGTTCCAAAGCCACATTCACATTTTTAGGTATATGTTAGAGCAGCACATTCACTTGTCAATACCAATTTGTCTTAATTTGTGAGGCCATGAAGTACCTTAGACTTAGTAATTTACAGTTCAGGAGGCCATGAAGTTCAATATCAATGCAAAAGCAGATTAGGTGTCTGGTGAGTGCTGCTCTCTATTTCCAAGATGGCACCCTGTAACTGCATCTTCCAGAGGAGAAGAATGCTGTGTCCTCACCTGCCAGAAGAGCAGAACACTGGTCTTCTATAGATTTCCTTGAACATTTCAAGCTGCTTCATACAACAAGGATGTGGAACTTGTCTATCTCCTCTGCCCAGAACGCTCTTCTTCCAAGTATTTACCTACCTAATTCTTTATGTCATTTAAATGTCATCTCTCTGTAGAAGCATTGTTCACCCCATTCCTTCTGCCAACTCTCTACTCCCTTTTCTTTTATTCACAGCACTACTTGAAATTAAATATTTGTTTGCTCTTGAGTTGGAAGCTATATGAAGGCAGAAACATTTGGTTAGTTTTATGCACTACTGAATCACCCAATGCCTGGAAGAGTACTTCACAAATAGGAATCTCTGATGAAAGAATTGTTGAATGATCATATGAGTAATTGTGGACTTACACTAAAAGTGAAAATAAATAAAATGCTGGCTCTTAAGGCAAAAAGATCTGCAGGCAAGGACTGCCAAGTGAATCTGAGCACAGAGCTATTGCAGCCAACTAGAGAAAAGGGGAAACTTGGAAGCTTGGAAGTCATAGATAAGGAAACACCAAAGAAGCCTTTGAAGATTACAGATTAATCTAATATCTTATGACTAGAAGAGAATGTGCATATTTGTCTTAAGAAGAGATTGTGAGTGGGAAAGTGATGTAATTAGATATGTTTCATGCATATCATAATTGTTGTATATAATTATTGGTATTGGTGCCTTAATTTACTCTTTGATAAGCCTAAGTTCTACCCTTTCCTCATCAGTTTTCTTCTGAGTTCCCAATATACTGGGTAGTTGAATAGGAAAAATCTGTTTATTTAACTTCCTATTAATCTATTCATATATAATGTATATATATAAAATGTGTTTGTGTATATATATAACATATATATAACATATATAACACATATATAACATATATATAACATATATATAACATATATAACATATATAACATATATATCATATATATATATACACACATTTCTACTAAGTTTGTGTTCAATTTTAGCAGTAGTTTCTTTTTCTCCAGTTCTTAATAAAGTAACTAATATTCTGAGGAAAATAGAGTTAAGATACTTACGTTAGGCCGGCCTGGTGGCTACCTGTAATCTCAGCACTTTGGGAGGCTGAGGTGGGAAGATCATGAGGTCAGCATTTCGAGACCAGCCTGGCCAACATAGTGAAACCCCATCTCTACTAAAAAGTACAAAAAATTAGCTGGGTGTGTTGGCGAACACTACTCATGAGGCTGATGCAGGAGAATTTCTTCAATCCAGGAGGCAGAGGTTGCAGTGAGTTGAGACGGCACCATTGTAGTCCAGCCCAAGCAACAGTGTGAGACTCCAGAAAAAACTTATGTTAACTAATGAAATTAATTTTGTTAAGTATTTTTAAGTTGTATCATTTCATTCACTTCTGCAAGGATGTATCTTGCTGGCATTGATTGTATTTTTTTTTGAGATAGGGTCTCACTGTCACCCAGGCTGGAGTGCAGTGGCATGATCTAGGCTCACTGCCACCTCCACCTCCTTCCAGGCTCAAGCAATCCTCCCACCTCAGCCTCCTGAGTAGCTGGGACTACATACAGGTGCACACCCTCATGTCCAGCTAATTTTTTGTATTTTTGGTAGAGATGGGCTTTCGCCATGTTGCCCAGGCTGGTCTTGAATGCCTGAGCTTAAGCAATCTGCCCCCTTTGTCCTCCAAAAGTGCTAGGATTACAGACATGAACCACTGCGCCCAGCCAATTGTATTTGTTTACAAGCAAATTATTGAGGAAAATTGGCAATAAATATATATACATACATCTATTTTAAATTTCTCTAATTTTATTTTGAAAGTATCTTTTAAATGATAAATGTACCCATAGACTTAATGAAAAGAAAAAAAACAAAAATATTAAATTTTCCCTTCAGTAAAACATTTTGAAACTATAAATAAAGAATAAAACACAAGGTGAAAACAAGCAGGAAAATAGCATTTAAAAATGCATATAAATAAATGTTATCTTCACTGATATCTTCGTTTACACCAGTAAACTATTACAAAATCATTTTTAAGTCTGCATTGCCTTTAAAAAAGGAAAATTCAGCATATCTTTTATTTTTTATTATTTTATTTTATTATTATAATACTTTAAGTTTTAGGGTACATGTGCATAATGTGCAGGTTAGTTACGTATGTATACATGTGCCATCCTGGTGTGCTGCACCCATTAACTCATCATTTAGCATTAGGTATATCTCCTAATGTTATCCCTCCCCTCTTCCCCAACCCCACAACATTCCCCAGAGTGTGATGTTCCCCTTCCTGTGTCCATGTGATCTCATTTTTCAATTCCCACCTGTGAGTGAGAACATGTGGTGTTTGGTTTTTTGTCCTTGTGATAGTTTACTGAGAATGATGATTTCCAATTTCATCCATGTCCCTACAAAGGACATGAACTCATCATTTTTTATGGCTGCATAGTATTCCACGGTGTATATGTGCCACATTTTCTTAATCCAGTCTATCATTGTTGGACATTTGTGTTGGTTCCAAGTCTTTGCTATTGTGAATAGTTCCGCCGTAAACATACGTGTGCATGTGTCTTTATAGCAGCATGATTTATAGTATTTTGGGTAATTCAGTGTAGCTTTTAAAAATCACCAAAAATAAATTTGCAAAGAAGTTTAAAGATATTTCCGAGATGTTTTTTATTGTGATTTTTTTCTTTCACACACAGAAAGCAATCAAGAATTTTCACAGGAAACTTGTTTTTTAATAAATTGGTGGGTGATTGTGCAGGTGTGTGAATGAATTTTGAGAGGTTCCCAGCATTCCTGGGGGCTCATCCTTCAGTAGATAGATTACAGGGTAGAAGCAGAGGGTTGCGGGCCTCTGACTCCCCTTTAAATGCCAAAAATGTGAAAATGCCTCTCGGATTTGCCTATAGCCATCCACAGAAGAACTTACACTATAAAAAAAATCTAAAGGTTGGGTGTGGTGGCTCATTCTTGTAATCCCAACACTTTGGGAGACTGAAGCGGGTGGATCACGAGGTCGAGAGTTCCAGACCAGCCTGCTCAACATGGTGAAACCTAGTCCGTACCAAAGATACAAAAAATTAGCCAGGTGTGCTGGCATGTGCCTATAATCCCAGCTTCACGAGAGGCTGAGGCAGGAGAATTGCTTAAACCTGGGAGGCGGAGGTTTCAGTGAGCTGAGAACACACCATTGCACTCCAGCCTAGGCAACAGGGGGAGATTCCGCCTCAAAAAAAACAACAACAAAAAAGCCAAATGTTATTGGCATTTTTATAAGATCCAGCAGTAAGTAATACTCAGAATGTTTTGTCCTCTAAGTTTTAATTGGCAATGTTTCTTCTAAACAAATATCCAGAAATATTTTTTAAATAAAGCTTGGGGAGTTGTTTACAAAGCACTCATGCAAAGCCATTTTAATATTTTGGAAGATAACAAGTTATATTACATTTACATTGAATTCAAGGTAATTTTTAAGTAATGAATTGTCTTACCTCATTTTATTCCAGTCCCCTCATTTTACAGATTTTACAGCCTAGAGAAGAGAAAAAACTTCTGGCAATTCATACTGACAGATAATGAGAAAACTAACAGTGGAAACCAAGTCTCCTGCCCATGAACTCACCAATCCCCATCCTTTTGTCTTTTCACTATACCACTCAATTTACTTTTGGATTCAAAGCAGAAAAATATAGTGGAAATGTGTATAAGATAGTTTCTTGATTTTTTAACTAATTTTTCTATTTAAGCCTAGGAAGAGAAAAAGGAGCATTTTATTTTATAGTTAATAAACTAAAACATACATTTTTCTTAACTAGAAAGGCAGAAACTAAGTTGAGAAGTCCTGTGCACAGTATCATTTTCAAGCGTATATCTGATGAAAAAAATATTGAAAGGAACACAAACAACTGTTACCTGAAGTGTATAACATATTGGTAAATGTTTTTGATCCTTCCATGAGGAAGGGACAATGGAGTAGATAACCTCCATACAACTGTGGGAAAACACCCACTGCTCTTTATTTTGGGAAGCTACTTTCTGAATGCAAACACAAAAGAAAAGTAAAATAAATTAAGCAACTCATCCACATACAGCTAAGATGAAAACATGTAGTATATAGTTTGTAGATGACAGTGTCAAATGTGAAGTCAATCACTACCAGAAGAGAAGAGAGCCAGCTAACTATATCAGGGAAGAAAAACTGGATAAGCAAGATGTCTGAAAAGCACTGTGGGCTACAAACTATAATAGACTCAGTGAGGTTAAGTGTAGTTTTTCAGGTCCTGGACTTGGCTTCAGAACTCAACTGTACAAGATGGGAAGTAGTGGCTTACCAGTAATACATTCAAATAAGACTTGGGAGTTTGAGTAGATAGTTAATATAAATCAATTAGGAGTTAAAAATCATATAATCTTAGGCACATATACACTGAAATATGATAACTGTAATAGGAGAAATTCTAGTTCCACTCCACTGAGTGCAGTTACAGGTAAATTACTTAATTTCCATATGCCTCAATTTCCTCATTGTCCAAATGGGGATTCAAATTCCACACTCCTTGTCATGTTGTAAGGATTAAATTAATTAATACAAGTAAAGTACTTGGCAAAGTACTTGATACTCAATAAAGGCTAGCTACCATTATTATTAGTTATTATTATTATTCAGATCACCCTAAGACACTGAACTCAGTGATACATTTTTTAAAAAGGGATAAACTAGTAAGCATTCAACAGACTGTGATCACAAAGTGACTGAAAAGACCCTCAGAATCTCAACATATAAGGATAACTTATGGGAACCAGCATGTTTAACATGAAGAAAAGATGACTTCAATTATTATATAAACTGTTACTACGTATCAGTTTATATACGTGGCTGTTACGTGGAAGAGGAGGTAAATTTGTTCTCTAAGGCTGGAGACAGAGGGTAGAAAATACAGGGAGACAAGATCTGGTTTAATACAAGCAAGGCTGTTATAATCAACAGAATTATCTACAGATGGAGTGGAGTGTCTCAGGAGGCAGACAGTTGAAGTTGAATATTTGGCTAAGATTTTGAAGACAAGGTTTACACATCAGGTGGTTGGGTAGGACTAAATGACAGCTAGAATTCTGTTCTTTCCAGACATGAGTTCCTGTAATTCCATTACAGTTCTCAAAGCACACTTTGGTGGTCAAGCCAGTCTAGTATCATTGACCCTAAAATTTGTCTGGGGGAAGAAGCTTGCCATTATCACACAACTATTAGCAGTTTTCAATGTAACATTGTGATGATGACTAACCAAATTAACTAAAGAGCAAAATACTGAAGATGACAGAATACAGCAATCCACAGGGGGAAGAAAAAGATCACAAACGTAGACAAAGCTGCCCAACCTCCTCCAAGGATCAGAGAAATGCACACTGAAAATATTATTTTGGCTGGACATGGTGGCTAATGCCTGTAATCCCAACACTTTGTGAGGCAGAGGCAGGCAGATCACCTGAGGTCGGCAGTTTGAGACCAGCCTGACCAACATGGAGAAACACCATCTGTATGAAAAATACAAAGTTAGCCGGGTGTGGTGGTGCATGCCTGTAATCCCAGCTACTTAGGAGGATGAGGCAGGAGAATTGCTTGAATCCAGGATGTGAAGGTTGTGTTGAACCGAGAAGGCACCATTGCATTCCAGCCTGGGCAAAAAGAGTGAGACTCCTTCTCAAAAAAAAAAAAAAGAAAAGAAAAGAAAAAAGAAAATAACAATTTAATTGCTAATGTTTTCAAAATTAGATGATATTAAAGCTGAAGAAAAGGCTGGGCACAGTGGCTCACTCCTGTACTCCCAAGCACTTTCAGAGGCTGAGATGGGTGGATCACCTGAGGTCCAGAGTTAAAGACCAGCCTGGCCAACATCTTGAAATCCCATCTCTACTAAAAATACAAAAATTAGCTGAGCATGGTGGTGGATGCCTGCAATCTCAGCTACTCAGGAGGCTGAAGCAGGAGAATTGCTTAAATCTGGGAGGCGGGGAGATTGCAGTGAGCCAAGGTTGTGCCATTACACTTCAGCCTGGGCAACAGAGCAAGACACCGTATCAAAACAAAAAAGAAAAAAAATGTCAAGAAGTTAGATGTACAAACTAAGTTCTTAGAGGTACAAAGTGGGAGCTGAGCTTTCTTGACTGCGTGAGATCCAGTAAGCCAGGAGGAAACAGTTTCGGAAGTTCTTGAATGTCTATTTCAATCCCTCTTTCATCTTGGAGGTCCTATGAGAGTTATAAATGCCAGTCTGTGTTAGAATCCAGAGAATGGCAAGCTAGGAATCATTTCATGGAGAAGCAGATGTAACAGGTGGAGTACTACATATGTGGTTTAATACTTCAGTCCTCTGAGAGGAGCTGTGAAATAACAGTTCCCTATTCATTCAAGGGCACTGTATCAGACATAAACTCTAGAAAAAAATTATTATTCAATTTTTCTTACCTCTTTTAAGTGAGTATTTTCATAATTCTACGTGTGTATCTTAACTGGTTTCTGCGTTTGTCTCACAGGAAATTGATGTGGTTGTGGCTTTTTATTTGTTGCATTTTTGTGTGGAGGAACAAATTAGAGCCTCCTATTTTGTCACCTTGTGGATATACCCTTTATTATTATTTTTTTACTTATTTAAAAAAATTTGTACGCAACAGTTGTAGATACTTTCGGCAATATCATGCGATATTTTGATACAAGTAATGTGTATTGGTAAGGAAGGGATCAAAGAGGGATTGGGGGTGGGTTAAATTATGGCTGCTTAGAAGGAATGAGGTCTAGTGTTCAGCAGCATAGGATGACTACATTTAACAATGACTTATTGTATATTTCAAAAGAATTAAAAGAGTGAAGATGGAATGTCACTCATACCAACAAATGATATGCCACTCTCAGAGGCTCACAACTATAATCACAACATTTTGGGAGGCCAAGGAAGGAGGATCACTTAAGCCTGGAAGTTTCAGACCGGCCTGAACAATATATCCGAAGCATTGTCCCTACCACACACACACACACAAACACAAAAGCTGGGCTCAGTGATGTGTGCCTGTAATTCCAGCTACTTGGGAGGTTGAAATGGAAGGCTCACACATTTCAACACAGGAGTTCAAGGCTGCAGCGAGCTACGATGGTGACACTGCAGTCCAGGTTGGACAACATAGTGAAACCCTGTCTCTAAAAATAATAAAGAAATGATAAGTGCTTAAACTGAAGGATACCAGATTATCTACATATTTGTTGATTTATATAATTATTTTTGAGTTGGAGTCTTGCTCTGTCACTCAGGCTAGACTGTATATGGGCTCACTGCAGTCTCAGGCTCCCAGGTTCAAATGATTCTCCTGTCTGAGCCTCCCAATTAGCTGTAACATACTACAGGTGTGGGCCAACATGGCTGGCTAATTTTTGTATTTTTGGTAGAGATAGGTTTCATGGTGTTGGCCAGGCTGGTCTTGAACTCCTGACCTAAAGTGATCTGCAAGCCTTGGCCTCCCAATGTGCTGCAATTAAAGAACTAAGCCATCACACCTGGACAGTAACATACAAAAGACTAGGGAATTTATCTTTTTACTTCATCCTCACAATGCTACATTGTAGATGAATGAAAACACAACTTCATAACATGAATAACTCACTTGAAAATCAAAGTTGGTAACTTCTCCCTTTAAAATTATTTGCACCCTTACCCTATAAAAATTGATGATCTTATTAAAATTTTGCCAAGAAAATACTTTGTCCTTGCAGAATAGTCTGTTAATTGTAAGAATGATGGACTGTAAAACTTCTAGAACTTCATATATTTCATTTCTTTAGGTTGGATAATCAGAAAAATTAATTGGTTTAGTTATTTGGGTACAAATATTTTATTTTTTTTATCATTTGATGATTTATTAAACCTTTAAGCAATCCCCTGTCTGAAACTTTAGGCTGTTGTTTTATGTTTTATATACTTCACTTTCCAAAAGTATGAGGTCTAAAACGTTCACATTCGCATCTTCAAATAAATCTGATCGGCTGATAGTTGTGGCTCATGCCTATAATCCTAGCACGTTGGGAGTCTGAGGAGGTGGGTCAGGATTTCAAGAACAGCCTGGCAAACATGGTGAAATGCTGTCTGTACTAAAAATACAAAAAATTAGCCAGCTATGGTGCACACGTATCTAATACCAGTTACTCAGGACGCTGAGGCAGGAGAATAGCTTGGACCCAGATGGCAGAGTTTGCAGTAAGCCAAAATCGAGCCACTGCACCCCAGCTTGGGCAACAAAGCTACGCTGCATCTCAAAAAAAAATTGATAAAATCCCAACTATACTAGATTATTCCTGTTTGTAAGAACTTATTGCTAAACCGTTACTTATAGTATCCATTGTCAAATCTTTCAAGAAAAAATTAACATGCATAACTCTCAAGACAAAACACATACGTTCCACTATTTAAAGTAGGAACATTTAATTTCATTATGCTATGCACTTGAGAAACTTAATTGGTTCAGTTTTGATTTAGGTTAAAAAAAAAAGTTTTCATTCCCAATATCCCCCTTCAGTCACAGAATCCTTCATGTAGAATGTTCCAGATGTCTTAAACTTTAATATCAACCACATCTAATTATTTCCTTTGACCTGTAATATTCCTCTAAAAGATAAATGTTATATGGTGAGGCAGACAGTTGTGTAGTCCTTCTGAAGATTTCTCAAACATTTTAAGCTTGTAATTTTTTAAAGAGAAACACAGCATAATTAGAAAACTTATGCAGCTTGCAAGGGAGACATAACATATGCTTGATTTTGTATCTACTTATGTTCGAAGAAACAAAGGAATATGTTCAAAAACAACACAATTTACTCTCCTATTCAATTTGCTTTTAAGCATGTGTAGCTAAGCAGTAACATCAGGCATTTTGCATTACATGTAAAATTTCTTTATGAAAATTTTAATGCAGATATTACATCTAAACAAAGAGTTTCCAAATAGCATTAACAAGTATGAAATTACTTTGAAAAAAATTCCTTTTCCTCTGAATATCTCAGAAAAATTATGGAGTAAGTATCTATGTCTCTCCACAAAACCAGCATGTTGCTTTGAGTGGTATGCAGGTAACAATGAATAAATAACATTTCAATTTTCGATTTGCAAAGAAGGTTTGGTATGCAATAACTATTATTTTGAATACTTGCTTTAATATCTACTTCAGTCTCCTTTTTCAGATCAGCTTCTCTTACCATCTCCTGTAGATGCCACATAACTTGAGCTACCATATGCTTCACGAGGAGCAGGGTGCACTCTATCCAGAGAAATTAGATTCCTTTGGTCTTTTCTGCCAACGTGCTCATGAAAACAGGAATAAAAATCACCACAGTGTCTTGAGTAACTCTCCGACTTCTGCTATATCTATCTCGTGTATTGTTATAATAATGGCGGCTTCTTCCACCATAAGACATCCGAGGCCCTTGTGCAGGTGGTGCACCATGAGAGGTCCCTGCAGGGTTGATAAAATAATATGTTGGACTACATCCAAACATTTTTACTGCTACCACTAAAGCATGAATTAGTTAAAGTACTATTTGGAAATATCTGTTTTCCTCTGCCTTTGTTGCAGGATATTAATTATGCCTGCAATAGTCAGAAGTTTTATTTAAAAGAAGTGTAAGAGTAGCATTTTGAAGCTTAACAAATTTAATCCTAAAGTAAAGGTTGAGTCACATTTTCTGAACACGAAGTGAAGTTCTCACCTTCATATCATTTAATATGCTTTATACTGTTAACAATATTCAATATTTAATCGTTATATTTGTCCCTTATAATTTTCCTTAGAAGTTCATTAAAATAATGATCTGATCTAATAAATATAATTCTATAATTTATGAATCCATCCTGGACCCTCATCATATCTCTGAATTGTATCTCTGTAAGAACTTCCACTTGGATGTTCAGAATGATCTCTACCACGGGCCTCACCATAGCCATCCTGATCACTAAATTGGAAAAAAAAAGTTTTCTTAATGCTAGAATAAACAATTTAAGAAATCTATTTGACAAATCTGGAAAACCTTATAGTACCTATATTCTCTAGAGGAATGTTCAACCTGAATAGAATGACCATAATCATGGTATGCATAGTCTCTAAGTGGTGGAGCATAATCCCTGGTTTCTGGGGAACTTGGATGATTTCTGTGTGCATAAGTTTAAGCTAAACAAATTTTAAATTTTCAACTTCTAGTATCCAAAACATAACTAACTTACAACTTAAACAAAATTAAAAGGCCAAACATCTAAATAGATATTTCTCCATATAAAATAGACACCTGAAAAGCACATGGAACAGATACTCATAATCAGTCATACAGAAAACGCATTTCAAATCCCAAATGAGATACCATACTTCACACACACACTGGAATGGCAATAAATTTTAAAAAGCAGGAAATAACAAGTGTTTGATAGGATGTAAATAAATTGGAACCCTGATACAATGCTAGTTGGAATGGAAAATGATGCAGCTACTATGGAGAAATGTGGTGGTTCCTCAAGAAAACAAACATAATTATCACAGGACCAAGCAATTCCACTCACATACACCCAGAATTGAATAAGCATACTCAAACAAATATTAGTGCGTAGAAATACTGCCATGGAAACAACCCAAATAAAATAATGGGTTAACAGCTTGTGGAAGGAGTAAAGTGCTGTGATGTAAATGAATCTTCAGGACATCACAGATGTGAAAAGTGTGTAGTGTTTGAGCCCATTAACATTAAATGCTCCCAACCAGGGGTTCAGAGTTAGAACACAGATTGGTGTTTGCTAGCAGCTGAGGAAAGGGAAAAAATGGAAGGGACTGCTTAACTGGTAGTTGGAGGTTTATTTTGGAGTGATGAAAATGTTTTGGAACTCGATGGAGGTAGTTGGTGTGTGACACAGAATGTATTAAATGCCACTTAACTGTTTACCTTATAATGTTTAATTTTGTTATGTGAATTTCATCACCACAAAAACAATCAACTGTTTTTTAAAAATTTTTCCTTTACCCATCCTTAGTTGCATAACCGTCATCTCTTGGTGACATATGGTTATTTGCCAGGAAGAGATTGGCTTTCTGCATGGAGGACCTCCATAATTCTCTCTTCCATATGATATGGGACCTTTAATATTAAAAATGATGGAACATTATGAAAAGAACACTATTTTCTGAAACACTATTTTCTCTTCTCTCAAGCAACTTTTTAAAATTATTTCTTCTATGTCTCCATTCCTCATTCCTTAAATCGCTAGACAGTCATGATACTGTGAATATTTCTTATGGCTTTGGATAATCTCATGGCTCCTGCAAGGCCAATTCTTCTAAGGAAGCTGAAGCCAAACATTAATTCATAGGTAAAAGTTCATTTGTAATGGTTAATAACTACTTAGTTATTATTTTCCTTTTTCCTTAGTTATTATTTTCCTTTTCATATGAATTACTGATTACTACTAATGGCACATGGACAAATGTAAAACCATCAAACTCTTCACTGATTTTAAAGTTTATGTACATTGTCCTTTCTCAGCTGAAGAAGGTAAATTTTCCCTTGTTTACTTCATCTCACACACAAACACTGCCACCTTTGAACAACTCCATGCTAAATTTTTACATAAAAGTTCTCCTTTATCTCTAAGTGGTTGGCTTTATTTTAAATGTTGACAAATTAAAATGTACTAGAGAAGATATTCTAATGATGGCCAAGATTTATTTTATTGCAATAAGCAATTCTATTAAAGGGGAGATTACAACATTGTTGCTATTTCAAAATAGAAAAGGTTCTCCTGTAATATACTCTTCATGTGCTATTTCTTAGAGGTCAGTCTTTCACCTATGATATGTTCACTGGCTAATTTTCCAATGGAAATATGTTGGCTTATGTATCTTGAAGTTGATAAATACCTAACTTCACCAATACTCTACATATGAAATGTAAAGTTGAAAATGGCAGTTTTCAATTTCCTCCATATTGGGATGGAGGACTAAATAAGAATTTTAATTAGTTCTGCTTAAGCTTCTTTACTAGGAAATTTAATTTATTGTCTTGCTTTCTTCTGTACAGTCTGCAATCTTACAATTTTCCTTCTCAAAATATTACTTCTATTCAGTCCTACCGCTCACATCATATTGCTTAGTTCTAAATTCTCTCCTCAAACAATTTCACTTCTTGCACTAAGGATCTTGTGTTAATGTTTAAACATCCAGGTACAATCTCCTTTTTTTCTTTATTATTATTATTATTATTATTATTATACTTTAAGTTTTAGGGTACATGTGCACAATATGCAGGTTAGTTACATATGTATACATGTGCCATGCTGGTGTGCTGCACCCATTAACTCGTCATTTAGCATTAGGTATATCTCCTAATGCTAACCCACCCACCTCCCTCCCCCCACCCCACAACAGTCCCCAGAGTGTGATGTTCCCCTTCCTGTGTCCATGTGTTCTCCTTGTTCAATTCCCATCTATGAGTGAGAACATGTGGTGTTTGGTTTTTAGTCCTTGTGATAGTTTACTGAGAATGATGATTTCCAATTTCATCCATGTCCCTACAAAGGACATGAACTCATCATTTTTTATGGCTGCATAGTATTCCATGGTGTATATGTGCCACATTTTTTTAATCCAGTCTATCATTTTTTGACATTTGGGTTGATTTCAAGTCTTTGCTATTGTGAATAGTGCCACAATAAACATACGTGTGCATGTGTCTTTATAACAGCATGATTTATAGTCCTTCAGGTACAATCTTAATTATTGATTTCACTTCCCCTTATATTTCACAACTCTGCACTACTGTGATATCCAGTTAATTTACGAATATTGGACTCCTTCATGTCTACCTTTCAAGCCTTAAATTTATATTTAAAAAATATTTAAACCCAGGGATGCCTTTTCTGCCCAATGCTCTTGTATTTCTTTTGAGTCTTTATATAAGCTGTAAGAATGCCTTGTACATAAGCATTATTGAATTCTCAGAAGCTGGATGGCCATGCTCAGCGGCTCACACTATGAGCTAGTGTGGAAGGTTGAGGCAGATGGACTGCTTGATCCCTGGGCTTTAAGGTCAGTTTTGACAATATAGTGAGATCCTCTCTCTACAAAAATACAGGAAAAAAATTTTTGCTAGGTGTGGTGGTGCATGCTGGTGGTTGCAGAAACTCTGAAGGCTGAAACGGGAAAATTAGTTGAGTCCAGGAATTTGAGGCTGTAGTAAGCCATCATCTCACCTATGCACTCTGACCTCGTAAGAGCAAGACTCCAATCCAACAAACAAATGTAACAAGCAATTTTTAGATTGGGACACCAGGGGACCATTACCAGGGGACCTAGAAAATGGAAGAATTCATTAGATGAAGAAACCTACCATCAAAGAATACTTCTAGGAGCTTTTAGAAAAATTAAGATGAATCTGCTAGCAACACAGGATGAAAAGGAATGTCAGCCTCAATCCAATCACTTCGTCGATCTGCAATGAGAGGCTCAAGTATATTTTCACCATAAATCTGAAATGTACTTAGTGAGATAGAAACTATAATAAAAGTTATCGATCTGTAATTATGCCCATGTATGTGTCACTTCTCTTGTTTGATGAACTTAAAATTAAGCAGACAGGTAAAATAACTCATTTTTATTCATACAAAAAATACAGTCTTTTTATCAGGTAGCATTTACCTTGGCCTCCCATCCGACTATTGCTTCTTGTCACAGGAGCAGATTTTGTAGGAGGAGGACCTCCATTTCTTGAAGATGGACTTCTTTTAATTGGAATGGGTCCCCTAGAAGAACTCATGTTGAAATCAAGAGTGTATCCACCATCATGTGTATTTCAAACAAAATCTTTTTAGTTGACTAACATCACTGTTTCTTAAATGGCTAAGTTTTGGTTGTTTATAAAGGTTTTCTACATATTAAAATCTTACAAATTCATATTTATCTAAACTAATAAAATTAACATTTCTATATGAAATTAGTGCAATTCATGCAATAAAAGTCCATTTAGAAAATCTAGAAAGAAACTCAAGAATCATAATATGTTGGTGAGAGACAGAGATGTGGGAAAAGTGGGAAGTGAACACAGAGCAGAAATCTATCAGTAAAATATCTAAGTATAATATACATAAAAATACTAAAAGAAAAATGAAAAATGACTGTTTATATCATTCTGTTATGAGGAAAAATTTTCAAAGCATATCATAAACTAAATTCCATTCAAAGAAATTTAAATATTTACAATATCAAAACGTGACACATCAGGAAAATACATTATCACTAAAAATTGTTAATATAATATAGAATTCTTACGATTCTCTTACAAAACACTAATCTTCAGATTAGACTATGCTAAATTTTAATAATCTTTAAGAATTGCACATTGAATAATATATAAATATTTTTATATATCTACCAAAAATGTAGATATATTCCAATTTCCAGGTGGTGTTTCAGGTTAGACTATGCACATTCTCCTTCATGGCAGAGTATTATTTAACCTCACCCTCAAGACGAATAGAGACAAAGTAACCATGAAGCTATACATCTTAAAATGGAGCAAACACTGTAATTTCAACTTTTTAAAAAATCTCCAATTAATTATACATCTGGTTATTAAAACTCAAACTTAAATGTTAGATTTTTGAAGCTTGGTTAATACATAATACAAGTTAACCAATAGGCTTGTTTGTTTGTTTATTTATATATTTATTTATTGAGAAGGACTCTTGCCCTGTCCCCCAGGCTGGAGTGCAATGGTGTGATCTCAGCTCACTGTAGTTTCTGCCTCCCAGGTTCCGGCAATTTTCCTGCCTCAGCCCCCTGAGTAGCTGAGATTACAGGTGTACACCACCGCACCAGGATAATTTTTTGTATCTTTGGGAGAGACAGGGTTTCACCATGTTAGCCAGGCTGGTCTGGAACTCCTGACCTCTTGGTCCACCCGCCCCATATTCCCCAAGTGCTGAGATGACTGGCGTGAGCCACCTTGCCCACCCCATCTAATAGTTTTTTTTTCTTTTTTTAAATACGTGGTTTGTTTTTCTTTTTTATGTAAAAATTGACCCCTGATTTCTATTGTGTAAATCACAAATAAATATCATTTTCAGTGATTAACCCTCCAGCAAAGAAAGAAACATACATATCTGTGAAGCAGTGGTGTTTAGACCTTTCCAGAGTAGCAGACTCTTTTCAGAAATTAAATTTCTGCATTTCTTAAATTGAAAATGCTTTATGGCAGGCCAATGTACAAACTCCCTGTATCGAAATTACAAAGCAATAGATTTGCTTAGATATTTGCACATGTATACATAAATAAAACAAATACTGCAAAATCAATCTTAAATACTGAGTTACTTTTTTCCTGTTGGAAAGTTTTAAATATTCCATCATATTTTGATAATACAACTGATATGAAGTTCTGGGCCTCAAATTAGAAAACTCTAAAGTATAATGAATATAAATGAATTCTGCAGAAAACCTGTTGAGTACAGGCAATCAGCATTCATAAACTCAGTTCAGTTTAAAATTTGTGTTATTTTAATGCAAAGTTATTACAATGTTAAAACAAATTTTAGATATTAGTTTAATCGTTCTTATAATACACTTTAGTACTTAGAAATAATTTTGCTTATCATGTTAATTTTCTGTTCATAAAGGAAATAAAAAAAATTGAGAAATTCCAGTATCTTCAAACTTATTTTCTTTCAGTCCTATGGTTCCATCTTTATATTTTAAAACATTACCCACGTGTCCTTCATGTGAGGGAAGCCACCCTCTTGTTCCTCCACTACTTCCTCTTGCAGATCTCACACTTCCTGAAGGGCTTCTGTTTCTTGAAGGTGGTGGTCTCCACCTACCACCACTTTGAAAAGATAGTTTTTGGCTTTGTTCTACTTTTATTGCCTTTCCATCAAAAGACTAAAAGTATTAAGGGTACTATCAATAACATTGGCACGTTTAACCTAAGCACATTTTACTAACAGTTTTACATCAACTATAATTCAATTCTATATATTTTCACCCAAAACAACCTTTTTTTCTCCTAAAATGAACACATCTTTCTCAATGCCAAATTTGAGATATTTACTGAGCACATGCCTTCCATTATGGAACCAAACACAAATGTTATTATTCAAATTCCTTGAAAACTCCTCCATTATTAAAACAAAAACACCTCAAACAAAAAAAGATTAACCTATCACACATTCTATGAAATAATGTGGCACATTTATAATCCACTTCATCTTTGTATTCACAACACTGATTTAAAACTTTCAGTGTCGCAGTGAAACTTGTGTCATTTAAAAAAGTGAGGTTACCTATTCAAAGTGATTAGTCACATTATTCATTATGAGTTGTTTCTTGTTTGATCTGCTAATACTTACATAAAATACCCCCATATGATTTACAATTATATATTTACTCTAGAAATGTTTCTATAAATATGATCCTTGTTTGGTCTTATTAAGGTTTCTTGCCTTACTCATTTCTTATTTTGTCTTAGACTTGTCCATAAAAAATGACTCTTAATACAGTACTCCATGTAATTTCTCAGAAATCCTTAAATGTTCTAATTAATTTCACAATAACATTTTTCAGTGTACTCTTTTCTGTAGGCCACTCTAATTTTTGAAAACAGCTCAGCTAAGAACTTGATTTAAAAACTGCATGGCTTTTGTTATTTGGGGGAAGATATTAAATACCTTATAGGACCTTTTGCAGCCACATCGCCAGTTGCTCCTACCATGGAACTTTTTTTGTTATTTCTGGGCCCAAAATATTTTCCCTAGATTTCTGCATGGCTGCTTCCTTCCCAGTGTTCCAAAGTCATCCAAAATTCCTTAAACTGTTAATTCCCCCTGAAAACTCTAAGAACCTCCTTTACTGGCCATCTTAACATTTATGTGCATGTAACATTCAAATTAATTTTTACACAGTAAAATATGTGAGGGGAAGTAATTTAGAAATAACATTGGCCAGGTGTAGTGGCTCATGCTTATAATTCCAAAACTTTTGGAAGGCCTAGGCGGGTGGATCACGAGGTGCAGAGATAGAGACTATCCTGGCCAACAGGGTGAAACCCCGTCTCTATTCAAAGTAAAAAATTAGATGGGCTTGGTGGTGTGTGCCTGTAGTCCCTGCTAATCAGGAGGCTGAGGCAGGAGAATCACTTGAACCCAGGAGGCCGAGGTTGCAGTGAGCCAATATTGCCCCACTGCAATCCAGCCTGGTGACACAGCGAGACTGTCCTAAAAAATAAACAAACAAACAAACTAACAAATGCTACACAAATTACCTGCTCTTGTGCTCAAAAAATAGGAGGAAAAAAGAAATTATCATAGATTACTGTGCCTAAGTCAAAATTATCTCCATACCTACCACAAAGCTATGAACCAAAAGCCACTCTCAGTTTTTACCACAGCTTAAAATACTAATTTATGAGTGAGGCTGGGTGTGGTGGCTCACGCCTGTATAATCCAAGCACTTTGGGAGGCTGAGGTGGGTGGATCACGAGTTCAGCAGATCAAGACTGTCCTGGCTAACACAGTGAAAAGCTGTCTCTACTAAAAACTAAAAAAATTAGCTGGGTGTGGTGGCGGGCGCCTGTAGTACCATCTACTGGAGAGGCCGAGGCAGGAGAATGGCGTGGACCAAGGAGGTGGAGCTTACAGAGAGATGAGATCGTGCCACTGCACTCCAGCCTGGGTGACAGAGCAAGACTCTGTCTCAAAAAAAAAGAAAAACTACTAATTTATAAGAGTGAATAAAAATGTACTTTCTTCTATGTGCCAGGAAGTGTGCTAGATGTAATAGAAATAAAAACAACTAGAAAGACTTAAATATGCACTATAGACAATTTAACAATCAATAGTTTAATACATGATACAGTGAGTATAAAATACCTACGATATGCAATGAGGAAGAAAATATGAAATTTAAGGGGTTTCTTTGAAGCATAAATTGTTATTTTTAGACATACACGGGGAAGGATAATTCTCAAGGAGTCCAAAAAAGCATTTGGGGGATAGCATAGAGAGTAACAGGAGCTAAAAACACATTGGGATAATGTTATTTATGATTACTTTTTGTTTCTTTGAGACAGAGTCTCGCTATGTTGCCAGCCTGGAGTGCAGTGACTTGATCTCGGCTCACTGCAAGCTCTGCCTCTTGAGTTCAACTGATTCCCCTGCCTTGCCTCCTGAGTAGCTGGAACTACAAGTGCACACCAGCCTGACCAACTAATTTTATTGTATTTCAGTAGAGATGGGATTTCACCATGTTGGCCAGGATGGTTTCCATCTCCTGACCTCATGATCCGTCTACCTGGACCTCCCAAAGTGCTGGAATAATAGACTTGCGCCACCACGCCCTGCCTGACTGGGATAATGTTATAAATAAAAAAAACCTCTAAAGGGCCCAGAATGGAAGGATGTTGACTACCATGTAAAAGAATTCAATAGCTAATAGAATTATATGAAAGTTTAAAGCTTTAGTAAACACACAATCCCTAGATTTAAGACTCAGTAGGACAAGAGACCATTGGTTGGATCAAAACAAGTCCTCAAACACACTGGGAAAAATGAGTTATTAGGTATTCCTGTTACATAAATCACTCTGGTGACAGGAAAAAAAAGTCCTTAGGAGAAGAGAGCAAGGATGAGGCAAAAATGCCAGTTACTTCTTCTGTTATCCAACTTCAATGTTCTCATATTATTTTCTATTTTCAAGTACTTGACACTTCCATAAATATAAAGGTCTTATTTAAATATACTTTCTCAAAAATATATTTTCAGAAAGTGGGAGAGAATCTTTCCTTTTTGTGAGTCTGTCTAGATGTCTATCCACAGTTTGTCTATGCTCTAGGAGTATTTCCATGAATTGGATGTAATTCCATTAATAGCATTTAATAAATATTGACTTATTCCTTTCATTCACATGAGGATTCCTTCTAAGTTTTAAAGATCTTCAAAAGCTTCAAAAATCTATCTATAGAAATAAAAACATAGAAAAAGGTTATCATATATTAATTTATATAATGTTTATTCCAATACCCTTCAAACTACACTTGCATGTATATGGCAAAAAGAAGAACATGGCTAAAGCATTTTGGTTCAGATGGCATTTATAACCTTCAAAAGTTTAGTAATAATAAAAATACATGGAAATTCTGTTAATTGAAGAACAGCATTAGAATATTATTTATAAGGGAAACTTACCTTTCCATTCATATCTTTGGCAGCATTCTTAGCATCTGCACTTTTCTCAAAAATAATAAACACAAAGCCTCTGGACTTGCTGGTTCAATCCTTTAACAAAAGAATTAAAACATATGAAAACATTTTACATTTATATAATGGAATCACCAAGGTACTATCTGAAAATTACATCAAACCAAAAAATAACTGCATTTCACATCACTGCTATGATTCTTAATACTAAGTCACCCCTATAGTCAGCCTATTTTATTCCAGTTTGTTCCTGAACTCCACAACACATTTACTTTTCCTCATTTTCCTTTCTAAGTAGTAGGTGATCCTTACCACAAACCCTTCATCTGGTGCTATGAGATTTTCCAAATATCAAACAGAAACTTCAAAGTAAGAATTTAAAAATGATAAAGCATTTTAGTGTATGCATACAATGAACTTTGAAAAAAATATATTTTTCAAAACATATAACATATTTTAAATATACATATTGAAGTATACCTATGAAAATACACACACACACACACACACACACAGTTTTAAGTGTTACCTTCAGATATGAGACCCTGTTTTGCAAATACTGCTTTAAGCATCTTTTCATTGGTTTGTCTATTGAGGCCACCAATGAAAAGCTTGCTGGGATGATCTGCTTCTGCCATTGTACTGTAGGTGGTAAAAAATTATCTATAATTAGATAAAAATAAATAAGCTAAAAAGATAAAATTTTGTTACATACTGTGTTGAAAACTCAAGTAAAATTCCCTTCCAGAGGCTGACATCTTTTTAGTATTTCTTACTTTAAATATGTAAAATTTGTAACATCTAGAGCAAATGGGGCAATGACTTCATGGACAAATGATGCATTTTAATATGTACCTCACAAAATCTCATTTCTAAACATTAGATAAGCAAAGCTATTGTAATTTTCCTAAGTTGCAATATGAAAGATGCCCCCATTTAAATAATTTTTTTGAAAACTATATATCTATGAGGTACAGTGTGATATTTTGTGTATTTTTTTTTCTTGAGATGTATATCTCTTGTGGCCAGAGTGCACTATTTACTGCAGCCTCCTCCACCCCACCTCAACTATCCTCCCACATCTCAGCTTCCCAAATAGCTGGAACTACAGGGGCTTTCTACCAGAGATGGGCAATTTGTGTGTGTGTGTGTGTGTGTGTGTGTGTGTGTGTGTTTAATAGACACTGGTTACCCCATATTGCCCAAACCCTCCAAATCCTGGGCTCAAGTGATCTGCTGTCTTGGGACTACCAAAGTTATGGGATTTCAAGGGTGAACCACCACACCCAGAATGATATTTGGATAAAAGATTAAATCAAGCTAATTAAAATGTTCTTAGGGGGGAACACTTTAAATAGTTTACCATCTTTTAGTAATTTGAAATATACAATAGGTTAAGGATTCCCAAATCTTGGTCTTCAACCTGTACCTGTCTGTGGCCTGAATGTAATGCCTGAGGATGACCTGTAATACCTGTCTGTGGAGAATGTAAAGCTTGAGGATGACCTGAAGTAGTATAGTTTTATCCAGAAACCATCCTCCCTATTCCCCTGCTGCCCCACCCTGTCCCTGTGACAGCCCCGCTGCCCCACCCGCCCTCTGTCACACTGCTCCCACTGGAAGCCCAGCCCCACCACGTGCCCCTCCGGGCCCTGCTGCCAGCCCCCACTGCCAAAGGTGTCCACCTTGCCACCTTCTTCCCCTGTGTAACCCTTGTCTGAGGAAAAACTGTCTCCCACTAAACTGATCCCCATTGCAAAAATGGCAATATATTAAAGGAGCCCTTTATGTTACCCAGGCTGGTCTCCAACTCCTGACCTCAAACCATCCTCACACCTCCTCTTCCCAAAATGGCAGGTTTACAAGAGTAAGTCAGTGTGCCAGGTTAATAGAATAACTTAAGCGCATTTATTTTGTTCCCGTTTTAGGCTATCTAACTCCATTTATCTTGATTACATCCACTTACTTAGTTTAAATTATTTACGCTGCCAGAGATACCTGAAACATGTTTCAAATACTGTCATGCAAGGAAGAAGACAATTACAGTTTTTACAGAGGCAAATTTAAACTGAGATTATTTATGGCCCCACATTTCTACATACATGAAAGTCACACAATTTATGTCAAAATTTGATAATTCCTTCCAAGCAAATCAGACATGTGACATGTGCTGACGAAAAGTATAAGTTTTTAATTGCAGTGGTTAAGTATATTGCCTGTATTTTGAATGATGAGCACATTTCACAGTGAAAAACTACTTTAATATAAAGTGCACATGAAAACAATGTCACCTTAGCACCATCTCCCGCAACTTGCCCACCTGTCGGACATATCCAACAGTTAAAGGTAGAATCCTCAAGAAGAATCAGTGAGTTTAACAAAAATGAGTTAATAGTACTAAGGAGTTCTTTCCCTATTGTCTCCTCCCACAATTCAACACCCGCACATGGAAAACCCATCCCCTTTTACAGACAAAATCCCAAAAGTTTGCTTTCTATTCTTGCCGAGAGACCAACCTGTCCAGAGAAACAGAAAGTGGAGGTGCTTTTCAGTAGGACAAACAGCCTCAGGATCCGGGCCTCTGGTCCTATGCATCCTGTTTTGGGACACTACAGGGCCAACTGCAGGAAGGACACCTGGAGCTGGCCTGAGCTGGAAGGACGGGAGAAACCATTCCCGGAAATCCTGCCTACCTCCAGTGGCCAATCATTGCAAGGGCGGTGGGCATCGGCCAATTATTGCGAGGGCTGTAGGTGTCTCCCGAGGTGCCCCGCCCCTTCCTGTCCCACAGCTCCAGCCTCCCCTGGTAAGCATCCCCTGAGAAGCTGCTTGTGCCGCGCGGCGGTGGATTCATTCACACGCGGACTGTGAGCCGTTTGGAATTGTGGGCATGGAAGGCCTACACCCTAACTGGCATGCTGAGTGTGGCAAAACATTGATCCACAGGGAACACATGAAACACCTCACTTCATTAGGCAGGCTAGGCTGATGGTACTGAATATTGCAGATCCAGAGGAGAGAGAGAGGGACCAGAGCCGCCTGCTAGGGCGAGGGCAGCAGTGGTGGCTAGGGGGCGGTTGGGCAGGGCTGGTACGTGGGAGGAAAGTCGACTGGTACATTGCTGGGGTGGATTTCATCTGCACCAGAAGCCAAAACCCCACAAGGACTCTCAGGTCTAGGCAAATGCAGACTCCGAATTCCACACTTCCTCCCTGAGGATACTCTACTCACAGGGGCATTCCAAAGGACCTCTCATCCTGTGCCCTGGGCACACGGGAGGCCAGCCGCCATGGTCCCCCATTCGATGACCCATGTGCACTGCTTTGCTGGCGCAGAGTCTCCTGCAAGAGCAGTAGCAGCCGTAGTGCCTGCTAGCGGGGCTCTGGAAGCCCAGGGCCTCGGCCTCCGACTCCAGGGCTACTGTGCGCAGGTAACCCTGCTGGGTGTCTGGGCCCCATGAAGAGCGCGGCAGGCTGTGGGCCCTGAGGAGCTCCCCAGGAGCCCTGTATACACCTAGGTGTGAGACGTGGTTCTCAGCAGGGCTAGGCCGGCGGGCTCCTCCGGGAGCTTCCTCTAGAGTCTAGGGGTGCTAGGGAGGTGAGATGGGGGGTGCAGGCCTTAATCTGTGGGAGCCTCAAGGAGGGCACTGTGTTAAGGCTTTAGGCTCTGCAGGAGAGGGCGGACTGTGTGAGAGCAGGGAGGCAACCCTGCGGGAGGAGGCATGGCAGTGGGGGATGACACCATGGCAGAGATGGAGGTGGTGACCAAGGAGGCCAATGTGGAGCGGCAGTTGGAGGACTAGCAGGCATAGCCTGGCCCAGGCCCCAGTACGCCACGGCCCACAACAGACTCTCTGGACGTCCTTCACTTGGAGCTGGACTCCGTGAATGCCGCAGGCTGCAGGGCATCCCCTACTTCTGGGCCAGAGCCATATCTTTGCAGCTGCCAATTCAGCGTGGCTGGCAGCAGCGGGTGGGCATCAAGCTCCCGGGAGAGGGTTTGGGAGAAGCATGGTGGTAGGCACCAGGGGTCAGCAAGATTCAGGGGCTGGGGGACAAGGATGGCAACCGAGGACAGGCTCCTGCAGATAGGAGGGCAGCTTGCTTGCGGGTGCCCTGAGGGCACGTGGTAAGAACAGGAAGCCAAGCACAACACACACAAGGGAGAATAACAGCGCAAAGGACCCTTCATAAACAGCAGAAAGTTGAAGGACAGGTTTCACTGGGAAAGTCCCTGCAGGAAAGGGAGTCTGCATGCCCATGCCAGCCATGGAACTACTCCTGCTCCCCATGCCTGTGTCCAGCAGACTCACCCCAGAAACACAAGGTGCTCAAGACTTGGGTTCACAGTGCACAGGGCTGCTGTACCCTGCAAGGCAGGCAACAGCTCCCAAGACAGGATTTCTTCCCTCCCCCGGCACTGCACCCAAAGACGTGTAGGCCCTGAGCATATATAACCTCCCCTGAACCCACACGAGCCCCATGGGGAGAGCCAGGCATAGCCCTGCAGCCACTTCTACCCACAGAGGTTCCCTCGTGTGTACAAGCCCACCCCTCAGGGAGACCAGGAGAAGGGGAGAGCGCACATCCGGACAGCAGCAGAAGCTGTCCAGCACCCAGCACACGAGGGCCTCCTGCAGCTCAGGAACTCTGAGCAAGTAGCCGCCTGACACCACAATACCCCGCCCACAACCCCCTGACCACTTCTTCTGTGTCTGACCCTGGTCAGAGCACGCTGTCTGGGCGGCCAAGACCACCACAGCCGCGATGGTGCCCCCCATGCCAGACAGAGACAAAGGACCAGGAAGGGAAGGTGCTAGACCAAAGTCCTGCGAGGTAGCCCTGCCCCACACTCTCCGTGCTCTTGCAAAGTTGCAGGGTGTCTCCTTGCATGCCCACCCAGTCATCTGGCGGCTCCTTGACCAGAGGCAGATTGTGCGGCACACGCAGATGTTGGCCAGGATCACAAATGATAATGAAGTCAGTCTTCCTAAGCTACTTGACGGATTTGTAGGTCAGGCTAAGGAACCTGGGTCTGCAGGAGGGATTCAGTTTCTGAGTGAGTTTGAGGTCGCTCTGGGGCCGCGGGGTGTCTCAGCGGGAGAGCTGGAAAGGGGAAACGCGTTCTTCACTCCAGCTAACTCAGTGAAACTCCATGAAACTCAGCCTAGCTACATGAAATGGTCCTTTGAGTCCGTCCTCTTTCTTCTTCTTGGCCAGGTAGGGAGAGGAACACAGCCATCCTGAGTACCAGTGGCAGGATGAAGTTTTCCTTTCATCATAACCTTTATTTCCACAATGAAGGTATCATTAAGGGATATTGTGTTGGCATCCTCTGTAAGGAGGGCCTCCCAGCATAATAGGGGAGGTGGAGTATGGGAGGGTGGGTCTGGCATGAACCTGTCTGTCTCCTCTCTCTCTAGGATACAGGGTATCTCATTCCACTGCAGTCCAGTGGTTGTGGCATCCTGAAGGTCAATGCTGCAGGCAGTTACACCTCCTACCTGAGCTTTTTCAGCTGGTTGGCTGACCATGGGTGCCCAGGTTCTGGCAGAATAGCTGAGGTAGGCACCATGGTGGGGCATCATGGAAAAGAACCTTGCTGGTCATTCCTTCACCTCTGGGTAATTGGCTTTGAGCCATGACCTGATTTGTCCTGTAGCCCCGTCTGCAGTCCCCCAGATCGTCAGCCAGGGCCTGTGCTCAATACCCTGCGTACATTCCAATGGAGGGAGGCCATTAGAGAGGGAACAGAGAGGAGGTCAGGTGAGCAGTCTAGGGCTGGGGACTGAGAGGCCTTTGATTCCTGGAGTTGTGCCCCACATGGAGAATCTGAGCCTCAGGGAGGTGACTGCAGTGAGCAATCCCAAGCCATTCAAGGGGTGGTGGAGAAATGGCCATCAGAGAACTGTAACACCCACATTTTAGGATTGGGGCACCTGAAGCCTCCTAAGGGGCATAAGTGTTTAAGGCCAGTGGGTGAGAAGCAAGGCTCAAGGGATAGCTGTCTCATCATCCCTGCCCGCTCTTTTCCCTGCCCTGAGGCCGGCTACCACTTGGTGCTCAGTTTGGGCTCTCTCACTCTCTCTCACCCTCCACACAGATGTCCCCCAGGGCCAGTCTCTGTGTCCTCCCAGAATGGCTCTCCCAGGCCCATCATTTTCAGTTACAATGATCCCAGGCTCCCCTGACATGTTTACTCCCCTCTGCCATCCTCACTCACACTGGCCCACTCCTCCAGACGAGAGGCCACTGCACAGGGAATCTGAAGGACCACACTGGGCTTACAGGGGAGGAAATGTGAAGAGACTGCAAAATAGCTGGGGACCTTCAGTGTGTGTCCAGGGAGGGAAACTGGTGGGGAATTAAGGCCCACCTGAGTACTGGTGTGGACACCCAGTGTTACTTATCATGATGAAGACCTGCTTTGTCACATCCCCTAATATTAATATGGAAGTTATTTTCTTGGAATAGTGAAACAATGAGTAAGAAGAAATACTGTTTGTTCAGATTTGTATGGAAATACTGCAGATGCATCCATTTTCCATTACAATTCTTATGTGAGACTTGAAGTGTTTATTGAATTTTAAGATACATTTTGATTGTTCTGCTCCTGGCAAATTTTATGGTCATGTTTGCAATGTACAGACATAGAATCCGAAAATTTTTGAGTGACTTTTAGCTTCTTTTAGAGTACTTACTTGTAAATTTTGAATTTTTTCTCCTGTGGTTCTCTTCAGTTTATTATTTGAACTTTATATGCAAGGTGATAAATTTGTTTTCTTATTTGCCTCTTGTGGAATTTTTAAAGGACTTTTTTTTTCTGTTAGATATGTGAGTTTGGCTGTGAGTACCTTTTCTAGTACAAAATTTTTATTTTCATTGGTTATTCTGTGTGTGTGTGTGTGTGTGTGTGTGTGTGTTTTGAGATGGAGTCTTGCTCTGTCATCCAGGCTGGAGTGAATTGGCAGGATCTCCACTCGCCTCAAACTGTGCCTCCCAGATTCAAGCAATTCCCCTGCCTCAGCCTGCTGAGGAGCTAGGATTACAGTCACATGCCCCCATGTCCAGCTAATTTTTGTATTTTTAGTCAAGACTGGGTTTCACCATATTTGCCAGGCTGCTCTCAAACTCCTGACCTCAAGTGATCCACCTGACTTGGCATACCAAAATGCTGGGCTTACAAGTGTGAGCAACCATGCCTGGCCTCATTTGTTTTTTTATGTATTTGAACGCTTGTTCTATTTTCTTCATGTACATGTATTTTAGAGTTACTGAAATAATATATTTTATTTATTTACTGAATACTGTAGTAGGATTTTAAAAGTAATATTTTTATTCACTAAATACAGTATTGTGAATAGGTTCAACCTTGTGTAGTACTGTTATTCTTTCTTTCATATATTCTTCAATAACTCTGTTACTGTTTTTCCCCCACCTGAGGAGAACATGCAGATAGTTACAAAAAATTGTGTGAGTGAGTGTGTATGAAAATGTAATTTGAAGGCTAGGAGGCATGGCTCATGCTTGTAATCTGCACACTTGGGTAGGCAAGGCAGGTAGATTACCAGATGTCAGAAGTTCAGGACCAGCCTGGTCAACATAGTGAAACCCCATCTCTACTAAATATTCAAAAATTAGCCAGGTATGGTGGCAAGTGCCTGGAATCCCAGCTACTCGGGAGGCTGAGGCAGGAGAATTAGTTGAACCCATGAGGTGGAGGTTGCAGTAAGCCAATATCAGACCACTGCAATCCAGCCTGGGCCACAAGAGCAAAACTTTTTCTCCACCCCACCCCCCCAAAAAAGGCGTCACATTTACATAAACATAATTATCTTAAAAGCCAGTATAATTTTAATTTTATTGTAGTCATCACCTTCAGACATTGTTTATTTTGGAGAAGTGATTATGGAAATCTGAAATATCAAGGCCTGATGAGAATACTTAAATTAACCACACTCCAGAAGTCCAAATCTGAAAAGCAAAGATGTTTCTGATATAATAGCCCAAATTCTGCATTTCCTCTCTATTGGGCAGTATGATATTGTACACATGAAAAACAAATGCAGTGTTAAATAAAAAGTAATGGGATTAAGAGGAGTCATTGCTTAGTGAGTTAAAATGACACACAAATAAATTGAGAAGAAAACAAAGACAACGATAGAAAATACATTGTCTATTGATTTAATTCAGAATAATTTTCATTTTTCTCTATTAGCACTAAATAGTACCATTAACATAATATAATTTTGTATATTGACTTCTAACATGTGAGTGGCTTTTATTTTGTATATTTGGAAACCTAATCAAAGATTCTTTATACATTTTTCCCCCAAATTTGCTAGCCAATAACTAGCTAAATGCTAGTTGACTGAATACCACTCACTAAGTAGTTTGACTGTTCCCATTAATTTTAATATGAACTTTGGTCTGTATTTTGTTGACATCTTTACTAAATCTGTAGGTGGTGACATTGTTCAGGTCTCAGTCATGGATCCTCTTGGGTTTTCTCAAGGCTAAAACACCCTTTTTGTGCTGACCATTAACAAATTCCCAGTTTCAGGCCAGATCTTTGTTCTGACCTTCAGACTTGGCATATCCAACTGCATGCCTTACATCTCCACTAACAAAACCAGATCTTCATTTCATCCTCCAAACATGTTTCCTCCTACAGTATTCCACTATTTCAGAAATTCACAGCACCAAATACCCTGTGTTTCAAGCTAGAAATGTAGAGGATGATTCTTCAGGCAGCCTTTTCTCAATGACTCTTCATCATTCACATCCAACTCTTCACAGGTTGTGTGTCCCCTCTGAGAATTATATAGTCTCAGTAAATAATGACTGGCCCCTAAACAACCTTCAATCATCCTTTTTTTTTTTCAATTTGTGTCAGTTTCTCTACAGAACAGCTGGAGCTCTGCAATATCAATGTTGGAGAAAGTACCATTCTCTGCAAATATTACTATTTTATTTATCACGAGATAAATGTTCCTTAAAAATGCCCACATGAAGCTATGTTAAGTAACACAATTAAATGAGGGCTTTGTTTTACAGACAAGTACAAGGCAAATAGAATCCATCATTACATGATCTTTATAACTACATATACAGGTACTAGATATTTTAGACCCCACTTCATATGTCTGAAATTTGGGTCTCAAAATACTTAACTTCTCTTAAAGTCTAATTTCAGATTACAAAAATACCTCTTTCCACAATATTGTGCTATCTCCCTTTAAGATCCAGATGGGGAATCATTAAAAACAACAACAACAACAAAAACGTCATTTTCTTCCACCTCTCCTAGCTGTGCCAAAATCTAAATTTTCTGTGGAGATGCTGTCATGTGCAATTTCACCAAAACTTTTACAACTCTAACCACAGTAGTGGCCTACCTGTTCATCCAATACCTGCACACCTGCTTTAACACAGAAAAATTTGGAAGTTAATATGATTATTAACTATTATCATTATAGACAATGGCATCTGAAGATGCTTTCCAATCTTCCTTGAATGTATGAAATTCAAAATGCCAGTACAATCTCCAAATTGTCAGTTAATCTTAGTAGCAGTGGATCATTTACAGAAGGTAATTTTGCTGCAGTGGTCAAATATTTTTGTTAAATACTGCTATTTTATAGCCATACATAGCATTAACTGACACACAGGGTATAGCTAGAAATATGATCCTAAAGAAAATGTTAAGAAATAGGTTTCTTATTTTTTGCTAAATTGCAAACTAACAGGTTAATTACTACTCTGAAGTGCTAGATAGTTGGAGTAGTATTTGCCAAGAATGAAAATGCATTTAGGGGCATACAACTTGAGAAGCCTGGAGTGAGGGAAGGATAAGGTATTTATTCCTGACTCCTGACTTGATGTTCTTGTGTGTGTGTGTGTGTGTGTGTGTGTGTGTGTGTTTTTTATTTTTTTTGTGTTTTGGGTTTTTTTTGTTTGTTTTGTTTTGTTATTTTTTTACTTTCTCTTATGTGTGAGACCAAAGTTTCACAAACAACCCCAAATAATTATGTGGGTCATAAAATATATGTCCAGATACTTCCAGCTATTTTCCTTCAAAATCCTGGTTCAATCATCTGAAATGAGACCTGGAGAACCAGTAATTCTAACAAGTATGCTAAGAGATTATTAACAAATGACAATTGTGAGATATTTAGAAAACCATGCAGGAGCTAGGTAATCAACATTTAATAATTTGTTCTTACTATAAGGGTAAATGATTTTATTGAAATGACTATTTAGATGAGTTTTATGAAAAAGACATAATTAAGCACTTCAGTGCTTTCTAATTAGTATCTTTAAAGTATGTTTTGCTAAAGTGGCAAAATTATTTTTTCATTTGAAGTTAGCATCATAGCCACAAATGACTTCTGAGTTAGCCTTTTGAAAATCTTCAGATCATAAATTCTAAAAACTATCTTGAGTGTTTATAAAACTCAAGAAAAATCACTAAGAAAAATATAAATAAAAATACCAGTATCCAAAATAATAAAAATAACTCTTACAAATATACAAGAAAAAATATATACAATCTAGCCCAGGAGAAGGAAAAAGCAGTACAGGTAAGTAGTTAGATCTTTTTCAGAAAAGAGGAAAGTCAAATGACCAACGAAAAATGACTAGATGCTTGAGCTCATTAGTAATCCAGGGATATAAATCAAAACCACATTAGGTTCTAACTTTCCTTCATTAGCTTGGCAACTATTAAAATAATAACACTGAGTGGAGTCAAGAATGTAAGAAAAGTGTAATTTTTTCCATCAATCCACAGGACTATCTAATGATATTTAGTAAAATTAGGGTGACTACAAGGGTTATTGTTCCAACGGAAATTTTTTTTAGGATAAAAGAGTCCTAACATATACAAAACCATTTATTATTTAGTATATTATTTCCTTACAGGCAAATTGTTTTTACTATATCGATGGATCTATTACATAGTTATCTTCCAACTATTTTTGAAAATGAAATTCCTTCAAAAATTTAAAACCACAATTACATATCTTCAAGCAAAACAGAAAAATAGCTTCTTTACATTTATTATTTAAACATTAGAAATAGTAGGCAGAATAATGACCCCGGAACATATTTATATGAACTGATCTGTTTCTTATCAATAATTATCCATAGTTCTTTTCTGGAAAATGCATTTCTTTCAATTTTATATTGGTTTTTAAAATAAAGTTACTTGCAAGCTTTTCCAAAGTTGCTTCTTGTTACCAATAAAAGTTATCAACAATGTTTAGTGTAACTGAACATTAAAAATCATTTGTCACATTATTCAATGTTTTATTTCTCGCACAATAAAATTTCAAGAGCTTTATTTTAATTCCAATGATTGACTAAATGTTCAAACCATTTTTAATTTAATTTTCTGTTTGAAACATCTAAATGTCATTATTGAATTCTTTTGGAATTTCTTCTGTAGCTAATGGAGCTAACATACTAACAATTACTGATGCATATTTCTTAACTGCAAAAAAATTAGAATTAAAATATATACACAATTGATTTTTTAAAAAATAGTAATTTGATGTAAATAAAAAGCCCTGCATCTCAGAATTATATGCTTAATTTTTCCGAATTCACATACTAAACCTGTGAAAATGTCATCTTCAGGCACAGTTTTCTTAATGTAACTAAGTATTACCTTCTGAAATAGCAGCTGCTTTTTCCCCTCAGCTTTCTATATGCTGGATTTCAGGATATCACTTTTAGCCTTGTGGTTCTAACATGGAATACAAGGCTTTATGATTACATCATTTGTTTATTGGCACTTTTCAACCCATAATTTGATTTAAAGGGAAATTGAGAAGTTTTTAATTAAATACCTACTTGCATTTTTCAACCATTGCTGCTGAAACAGATTTTTGTAAAATAGTCATTAGCAAGCAGCCCATAAATAGTTGTAGGTATATGAGAGATGACAAAACCACTGTGGCCAGACCAATTAACTATGCTCTGTGTGTTAAGCTTCTATTTCTAGCACATAATTTACGTATATCTAGCCTATTATTTCCTTCATTTTCCCCAAACCTACCACACGATGATCTGGGAGTGTCATATAAGTGGACCACATAGAAAGAAAACAAAACAAAACAAAAAATAAACCATGTCAAATACTTCTTCCATCACCAGGCAAGATTGGAAGAAACTACTCATCCCTAGCTACTACTGATTCAGTGCATATTGATTTACCGTCACTCAGTCTGCTACATGCAGTCCTTGAAAAGTAGCAGGATCTATGTTTTGTGTGAACTGTGTCAGGAAACTAAAGTTGATTTTCAGATTATCCCCACACTAAAGTCATCGTTCTGTTAACATTTTATTTTTCTCACATACTGATAGAGGCCTGACAAGCTGTAATTGTTAAACAAAATGAACATTTAGCACACACATGCTGGTTCTAATTAATGTAACTTATAATAATACTTCACTAAAAATGAAAAATCTAAGACATATGCTAAGCTGATTAGCATGGATCAACAATAGTAATAAAGTGGTAGTCCAGGGAGCTAATGAGAATATTTTATCTCCTCAAAATTAAAACTGTACACACACTGCAGTCCTGACATTCTTCTAGTATATTCATTAGAAACTCTCACATATGTGTAACTGGAGGGATAGGGAAGGTTTTTCATTGTAGCATTTCAATAAAGCCATCATGGAACATAAGAATTCAGTAGACTGCGAACTATGCCATCAATAATGGCAGCTGTCAACAAGAATCTTAACAGAAAAAAAATGTGAAATAATACACACATTATAATATTGACATAAACACTCAAAATTCACAAAACACCAGTATTATTCAGAAATAAATATTTTAATAAATTTTAAAAATATGAATATAATACCAGTTCCTGATAATGGTGCCTAAGAAATGGTAAAAAGGAAACTAACCTGAGGGCGAATATTCCAATTACAACCAGAGGTAATGTAAGTAGAAAAAGGAATATATTAATAGCTGCTATTTTTAAGTGGGGTTAAATTGGTATTTGTTATATTATTTTGTATTTCTATATCTTTTTAAATTTTCCTCAAAACCAAATAATTTTATAATACCATTTACATTGCAATCACCTTGTGAAGTAATTGCTTTACAATTTCCTTGTCTCAATTGTCACTTCCAAGAAATTAAAAAAATTAAAAATTAGAACAAGTGGTATTTTCAAAGAAAAACATTTTACAAGTGTGAGATAAAATATATTACCAGCACTTCACATTTTTTGACTCATTATCCATGTAAAATCACGTAGTAGAAGAGAGAAGGACACAGGCAGAATTTCATGTATAAGTAGAGGAAACATTTGTATGTTTATTTAAAATATCTTCTTTTTTATTATTATTATACTTCAAGTTTTAGGATACAAGTGCACAATGTGCAGGTTTGTTACATATGTATACATGTGCCATGTTGGTGTGCTGCACCCATTAACTCCTCATTTAGCGTTAGGTATATCTCCTAATGCTATCCCTCCCCGCTCCCCCTACCCCACAACAGTCCCCGGTGTGTGACGTTCTCCTTCCTATGTCCATGCATTCTCATTGTTCAATTCCCACCTATGAGTGAGAACATGTGGTGTTTGGTTTTTTGTCCTTGCAATAGTTTGCTGAGAATGATGGTTTCCAGCTTCATCCATGTGCCTACAAAGGACATGAACTCATCATTTTTTATGGCTGCATAGTATTCCATGGTGTATATGTGCCACATTTTCTTAATCCAGTCTATCACTGTTGGACATTTGGGTTGGTTCCAAGTCTTTGCTATTGTGAATAGTGCCGCAATAAACATACGTGTGCATGTGTCTTTATAGCAGCATGATTTATAATCCTTTGGGTATATACCCAGTAATGGGATTGGTGGGTCAAATGGTATTTCTAGATCCCTGAGGAATTGCCACACCGACTTCCACAATGGTTGAACTAGTTTACAGTCCTACCAACAGTATAAAAGTATTCCTATTTCTCCACATCCTCTCCAGCACCTGTTGTTTCCTGACATTTCAATGATCGCCATTCTAACTGGTGTGAGATGGTATCTCATTGTGGTTTTGATTTGCATTTCTCTGATGGCCAGTGATGATGAGCATTTTTTCATGTGTTTTTTGGCTGCATAAATGTCTTCTTTTGAGAAATGTCTGTTCATATCCTTTGCCCACTTTTTGATGGGGTTTTATGTTTTTTCTTGTAAATATGTTGAGTTCATTGTAGATTCTGGATATTAGCCCTTTGTCAGATGAGTAGGTTGCAAAAATTTTCTCCCAGAGGTACAAGGAGGAGCTGGTACCATTCCTTCTGAAACTATTTCAATCAATATAAAAAGAGGGAATCATCTCTAACTCATTTTATGAGGCCAGCATCATCCTGATACCAAAGCCTGGCAGAGACACAACAAAAAAAGAGAATTTTAGACCAATATCCTTGATGAGTATTGATGCAAAAATCCTCAGTAAAATACTGGCAAACCGAATCCAGCAATACATCAAAAAGCTTATCCACCATGATCAAGTGGGCTTCATCCCTGGGACGCAAGACTAGTTCAACATATGAAAATCAATAAACATAATCCAGCATATAAACAGAACCAAATACAAAAACCACATGATTATCTCAATAGATGCAGAAAAGGCCTTTGACAAAATTCAGCAACCCTTCATGCTAAAAACTCTCAATAAATTAGGTATTGATGGGATGTATCTCAAAATAATAAGAGCTATCTATGATAAACCCACAGCCAATATCATACTGAATGGACAGAAACTGGAAGCATTCCCTTGAAAACTGGCAAAAGACAGGGATGCCCTCTCTCACCACTCCTATTCAACATAGTGTTGGAAGTTCTGGCCAGGACAATCAGGCAGGAGAATGAAATAAAGGGCATTCAATTAGGAAAAAAGGAAGTCAAGTTGTCCCTTTTTGCAGATGACATGATTGTATATCTAGAAAACCCTATAATGTCAGCCCAAAATCTCCTTAAGCTGATAAGCAACTTCAGCAAAGTCTCAGGATACAAAATCAATGTGCAAAAATCACAAGCATTCTTATACACCAATAACAGACAAACAGAGAGCCAAATCATGAGTGAACTCCCATTCACAATTGCTTCAAAGAAAATAAAATACCTAGGAATCCAATTTACAAGGGACGTGAAGGACCTCTTCAAGGAGAACTACAAACCACTGCTCAATGAAATAAAACAGGATACAAACAAATGGAAGAACATTCCATGCTCATGGGTAGGAAGAATCAATATCGTGAAAATGGCCATGCTGCCCAAGGTCATTTATAGATTCAATGCCATCCCCATCAAGCTACCAATGACTTTCTTCACAGAATTGGAAAAAAGTACTTTAAAGTTCATATGGAACCAGAAAAGAGCCCGCATTGCCAAGTCAATCCTAAGCCAAAAGAACAAAGCTGGAGGCATCATGCTACCTGACTTCGAGCTATACTACAAGGCTACAGTAACCAAAACAGCATGGTACTGGTATCAAAACAGAGATATAGACCAATGGAACAGAACAGATCCCTCAGAAATAATGCCACTTATCTACAACTATCTGATCTTTGACAAACCTGACAAAAACAAGCAATGGGGAAAGGATTCCCTATTTAATAAATGGTGCTGGGAAAACTGGCTAGCCATATGTAGAAAGCTGAAACTGAATCCCTTCCTTCACCTTATACAAAAATTAATTCAAGATGGATTAAAGACTTACATGTTAGACCTAAAACCATAAAAACCCTAGAAGAAAACCTAGGCAATACCATTCAGGACATAGGCATGGGCAAGGACTTCATGTCTAAAACACCAAAAGCAATGGCAACAAAAGCCAAAATTGACAAATGGGATCTAATTAAACTAAAGAGTTTCTGCACAGCAAAAGAAACCACTATCAGAGTGAAAAGGCAACCTACATAATGAGAGAAAATTTTAAAAATATCTTCTTAAGACATACTAGTGGCCAAGAAACATAAGAAAAGTGCTCAACATCACTGATCATCAGAGAAATCCAAATCAAAATCACAACAAGATACCATCTCATACCAAGTCAGAATGACTATTATTATTAAAAAGCGAAAATAATAAGAATGATGTATGTGGGCAAGGCTGCAGGGAACAAGGAACTCTTATACACTGGTGGTAAGAATGTTCAGTCACTGTGGAAAGCAGTTTGGGGATTTCTAAAAGAACTAACAATAGAACTACCATTCCACCCAGCAATCATATTACTCAGTATATGCTCAAAGGAAAATAAATCATTAAAGCTACCAAAAAGACACAGGAAATCTCATATTCATCACCATAGCGAAGACACGAGGTTAACCTAGGAGCCCATCCATGGTGGATGGGATAAAGAAAATGTGGTACATATGAACCCTGTACTAGCACACAGCCATAAAAAGAACAAAATCATCTCCTTTACAGCAACACGGACTTAGCTGTGTTATTAACCTAAGCAAATTAATGAGGAAACAGAAAAACAAATATTGAATATTCTCAATTATGAAACAAATATTGAATATTCTCAATTATGAAAAAGAGCTTAAACTTAGGTGCACACAGAAATAAAGACAGGAACATTATACAGTGGGACTCCAAAGTGGGACAGAGGGAGAGAGGCAGGGGCTGAAAATCTTCCTATTGGGTACAAAGTTCGGTATCTGGGTGATGGGATCAACAGAAGACTAAACATCGGCATCACACAATATGCCTTTGTAACAAGCCTGCACATGTACTCTCTGAATCTATACTAAAAATGAAATACAAATAAAATAAATACACTACTAAAGGAAATAATATGTTACATTACAGAATTGACATTATTGCAGTGATACGTAATTGAAACATGCTAATAAAATCTATATAAGCTTTGTGGAAACGGTGATGTCTCCTGACTGTCTTTAAAAGTATAAAAATGGGATGGCTACCTTATGCAAATTAATTAGACTTCAGTTGCCCTAATTAAGAGAGCATCAGCTGAGTCAAACAATAATAGATAAGTTATAATTCATGTCACCATTCTACCTTATTATATTACCTCCGAAATCATATCCCAAGTTTTCTTCTATTTTGAGAAACATCACTCTACATACATATAGAACAAAGATTGGTTTTGCAGATTAGCATGATTTTAATAGAGCAAATTCCATCTTCAAATCTGATAAGCACTTTCCAATCCATAAAACACTGTTAGAAAAACCTATCAGGCTAGACACATTTCACAGAGCCTGTGAAGTTATAAATCACTTATACCTCCCTCTTGTGTTACCATGATAATGCATAGCACTTACATACTGTTTCTTAGCTTGAAAGAGCTGAGGAACTTTAATTAATCCTTAGACTACCCAGTGAGAGAGTGAGAAGAAGACTGGTGAAGAGATCATTTAACTACATAATTCACACTTGCTTATATGTAATTCAGCATATGTGTCATGTTGTATTCTCCTAGCTTTCTATTTCAATCTTCAGAGAAATAATATTTATGTGTGAATGTATGATGCATAGGCATCTATTATGAATAAAATTATGTAGACTGCACTCTGTCTGCCACTAAAAGCTAACAGATATATGTACATCCAACACACAAAAAACATCTGGTACATTCTGCTGTATTTTCTTTTCTTATTCATTTCATATATCATCTTCAGGCATTTCAGAGTGGACTTCTTATATTTGAATAGGCTAAAAATTTTAAATAAGGAATATACAAATCTCTTGTTAATTTTTATAATTACTTTATTTTTTTGGGAAATGTATTAAATATAAATGTTTATAAATGAATAAAAGAGAATATCGTATGTGAACGCTTCACTGAAATGAAAGAATATTTAACTATTCTATTTATAATTCTGTTCAGCAGGATTTCCTTCTCTGCAGGTAGCTGGTTAGAGGGGTCTACCAAAACAAATCTATTTCTGCAGTGAATACCAACACTGGGTTACTCAGGAAAGAACTCTTTCAGTCTGCAAAACACAATACATCTTTTCCCTGAGCAGTGTAAATTCTTATACAGTTTTACTGTTCAACTAAAATTTCAATTTAAACATTTTCCTTCTTATTACAAAGAAAATCTGGTTACTTCTAATTGCTTGCCCAAAATCTAATCTCTATAAGTATATAAAATTACATAGACATACACACATGCATAAAAAAAAACTGTGCAACTGGAAGACCAACTGTTGTGTACATGTGTTCTGTTTTAAAAAACTTTCTACTGTACTATTTGCATTAAGGTTATAGTTGTAATTCAATCAATGACCCATTTTAAACGAGTGGCTAGGACATCACTGGAGAAAGTGTGTACAATGCAAGAAACATTTCCCTATGCATCACTTTATTTGTAAATACATTTATACTTTATAGTTAAAATGGTTAACTTTTTTGTCAAAGACTGATACTGGCAAAAGTTTTGTTTCTTAATATATTCTTTAATTTTTTCCAAAATGTTTTTAAATATCATTCATATATTTATTCTAATTTCTTCTGGGAATAAATGGCCAAAGAAAAATGGAGAAAATAATTTTTTTCCTATAAGTTTATCATCTCCTGAGTGTCAAACTTGTCATGAAAGGAGAGATGCATCTTCTGCTCTTACTTTAGGACCAGAGTTTCCACCAACAGATTATAAATGTGAAAATAACTGCCTACTTAAAGACACTGTTCTGCAGAAAACACTATTACAGTCTGAGATTGAACCCTAAGGACTGGCCTTGGGAAACTTGAGACTTTGGTCAACTAATTTCTAAGGATGTTCTCTGTTGCAAGGGTTATTGACTCTTCAGTCAAACACTGTATCATGGAAAATCTAACCTAGTTGGCCATTTGGTTATGAGATGATAAAAAATAAGAAAAATATTCCTGGAATGCAGATAGCCAGAACTGTAGGTCTTCAAGGAAAAGTACTCTCAGTAACAATGTGAAAGTTTGTCTGAATTTCCATTTCCACATTATGATAATTATGCCACATTTTTTAGCATTTCTGTAAATTATTTCTGGTTTTGAAAATCTTTACTTTTGAATGTGGATTTATCTTTAAAAATTAATATTGTTTCATGGGACCATTTGCTTGTATAAATTATGCAACATTTTATGGGAGCTCATATACAGACATCTCATACAAAGCAAGTGATGAGACATATGTTTGAGATGCATTAGGGTGGATGAAAAGGAAGCAGTGTTTTTACTCTCTTGGTCTCTCACTTCTGATAAGATAAACTACAAAATACTTACAAACAAAAGTTTAAAAAAGAATGACTGAATCTCTTGTGTCCGACTGTTGTTTTGTATCCCATAAACCCTTTATGCTATATCTAAGACTTAAAGTGTTTTAAACAGTAGATATTGGTCTTTAGGATATCAAGTGGAGGCAGGGTGACACAAGCAGTTGCTGCCTGGGGGATATTATCTAACGAAAGAAGTCAGCAACAGGCAGCTGAAAGGGCAGTGGTCCAGTGCCAGCTGTTTAGCTGAGACTTGTATAAGTTTCTCAAAAATTGATAGATGCCGAGCTGCCCGTAAGTTACTTACACTTCCCCAAGAGCACCTCTCAACTAGAAAGGCAGAAGAAACACTGAAAAGGATACAACATTGGCCCAGAAGCCAGGGATGCTCTGGATGATGGCCCCTCTGCGGTCCAGGTGGGGCTTGCACCTCCGCTCCATCTTTTCCCGCTGCCGAGAAAAGGCCTTCCTGGCTTGGGCATTAACCAGCTCCAGCCCCACCCGAACGGCCAGCAGCTCCTCCAGTGCAGACTCTGGGGTCATGGGCCCAGGGCCAGGCTGTGCCCGCTGGTCCTTCTGCCGCTCCACGAGGGCCTCCTCCTCGGCCATCACCCCCACCTCCGCCATTATGTCATCCAACACCAGCACTGTCTCCTGCTTCAAGGTTGCCTCCTCCCTCTGCGCCTCGGGCAGAGTGAAGACGGTGCACCCTGAAGACGGTGTCCTTCTCCGGACTCCCATAGACCACCGCCTGTGCAGCCCGACCCATAGCACAGGAACCCTGCGCTGCCCTTTCTGTAGCCTGTGGGTGGGCGGGAACTCAGGGCGCATGCACCTGGCTTCCAGGCGCCACCTAACGGACTGCACTCAAAGGGCACCTGGAGCCGCGCCAAGACCGCCAGCCTCCCCCTGCGGCCAATCAGTGCGAGGCGGTGCGCATCTCCCTGGGCGGCACCAACCAAGGCTGGCCTGCAGTCCCAGCCTCCCGGGGTAAGCCTACTCTGAGAAGCCCTCAGAGCTAGTGCCAGGTAGCGCTGCATCCAGGCACACGCGGGCTGCGTGACCTTTGGAAATGCTGGCATGTGAGCCCTGTGCCCTAACTGACATCCTGAGTGTGGCAAGCCATTGACCCACAAGGAACACATGAAACGTCTCACTTCATTACGCAAGCCAGGTAGATGGTACGGAATATTGCAGATCCGGA